>NC_000013.11:114038674-114196501 GCF_000001405.40 Homo sapiens | reverse complement strand
AAGTAAGGTAGAAATGAAAGTGTACCTTCAGCCTCTTGAGTTTCAGGTGGAGATGGCGGAACGTCAGCGGGGCGCGGGTGTCTACCAGCGGCTGGGCGCTCTGGACCTGTGGCATGAGGAGGCAGCGTTACCTGGGCGCAGTATTGGAAACAGAGTGAGCTCAGATTGTGCTGCTCTGGGGTCTTTCGTGGCACCAGGGATTCCATGTCAGCACACGGCCTGAAGTTCTGAAAGAGGCTCGTGCTTAGATTTGGAATCCGAGTATCCCCTGGAGGAAGCCAGGCACCCTCAGAAATGAGCCTCTATTGCCCTTTTAAAAGACAGAATTAAGTGGGTGCAGGGTGAGAATTTGTTAAATGCCAACACCTGGTGACATTTCTAGTCTGCACTCTATTGCCAAGAGGCTTTTTTTTTTTTTTTTTTTTGAGTCTCGCTCTGTTGCCCAGGCTGGAGCATAGTGGCGCAATCTTGGCTCACTGCAAGCTCCGTCTGCCGGGTTCATGCCATTCTCCTGCCTCAGCCTCCCGAGTAGCTGGGACTACAGGCGCCCGCCACCATGCCCAGCTAGTTTTTTTTTTTTTTTTTGTAATTTTTAGTAGAGACAGGGTTTCAACGCATTAGCCAGGATGGTCTCGATTTTCTGACCTTGTGATCCACCTGCCTCGGCCTCCCAAAGTGCTGGGATTACAGGCGTGAGCCACTGCACCCAGCTGCCAGGAGGCCTTTTATACAGTGAGTTATGTCCCTGCATCCACCTCACTTTAATTTCCAAGCTCTCCACCAGTATTTCAGGATGAGCACCTTAGGCATTAGCTGTACAACAATCTCTAAAGTTTCCACTTAGAAAAGGTACAAATAAGGGAAACATTTATATTTAAAATGTGACAGGTTAAATGCATGAGACCTGTATGTATCACTGCTTGCAATAAAAAGGAATCCCCGCATATTCTAGACATTCCTTTATAGATAGTTAACTACGGGACCTGCTCACGGATAACCTGAAGGCGACAGCATTGGGAAACTCCCCAGTGGAGGAAGAAACCCCCAGCACATGGAGAAGGATAGCCAGGCTGGGGACTGAACCCACGTGCAATGTGGTGACAGCACAGAGGGTGGAGAAGATGCAGCGAGATGTCAGGAGGTGGAGAAAGGGGCAGATGGAGACGTGTTCACAGAGCACACTTAGGAGCTGCAACTTGGTCCCCAAAGGAAAGGGAACCATTGAAAATAGAGGCAGAGGAGTGACATGGTCACATGGTCACTTTTTACAGGCTCCTCTGTCACTACGTGTGAACGAAGAGAAGCCTGAAGGAAGGCAGGGAGGCCAATGCCAAGGCTCCTGTGGTCATCCAGGGAGGAGACCTGGGCCTGCAGCATGCCCAGGGCTGTGGGGCCACTGGGCGGGGAGGTGGCAAGATCCAGGCCCAGGTGCGGTGTACATGTGTGGGGCGGGGGTGAAGGGAAAGGAAGGCATGAAGAATGCCCTCTG
This sequence comes from Homo sapiens, assembly GCF_000001405.40. Taxonomy (NCBI): domain Eukaryota; kingdom Metazoa; phylum Chordata; class Mammalia; order Primates; family Hominidae; genus Homo; species Homo sapiens. The sequence goes on along the minus strand of NC_000013.11, from coordinate 114,195,012 downwards.
CTTTCAGTTTTCATACCAGGTGACACTAAGACAGAGAAGGTGGTGAGTGGGTTTGGGGCATGGACAGGAAATTCTGAGTTAACTATGTTTAATCTGAGATGCCTACACAGAGCTTTCTAGAAGCAAGTTTCTTCAAGCTCCAGATAAAGATTTGAGAACATAACTGTTATTAAAAATGTCACACTAGCTTGCCTGGTGGCAGAACTTGTTGACCAAGGCCTTTTGAACCCCTTAATGTTATCTGATGTTGCTTCTTGTTTAATTTAAACATTAGGTACGGGGGGAAGGGAGTGTTTCCTTACAGCAAAATGCCAGTTGGTAAACGTAGAAGCAGTGGTGTGGTCGAAAAATCACCATTTTGTAACCATCATTGTAAAGATTGGTTTTGGCAAAATCATCAAAGAATGCTCTTGGGGGGGAAATGAGTGCCCCCAACAGAGTGCTTATTAGTATAAAAAATGGAGACCCGATCTCCCTTCCACCCTCCTCCCTTCCATGTTTGACTCAGGACTCACGTAAAAAGGCCTATATTGCCACTGGTCGTACATCTTTTACGTCTAATGTACAATTTCCCTGTTTTTCTCCCTGCAATTTGCTATGAGAAATCCAGAGAATTTGTCCTGTAGAGTTTCTGAGTCTGGATTTTGCTGATCACATGCCTGACATTTTCTGTATATTGGCAGTTAGAAATTCAGGTTCATTTTTCTTTTTCCTTGATAAACCACAGGTGGTATCTTGACATTTTATTGGCAGGTACAAATTTTTGCTTGTCTCTACCTTGTGATGTTAGCAGCAGTGAATGATCCTAGATCCATTACTTCATTATGGTTTGAAAAGTGGAGATATTCTAATTCCATCATTCAATCTGTATTTGTTTGCTGGAATACTTCTGTAAAGAAAAGCTTTGCACTGGCAAGAAACTTACTAGGTTTTCTCTATTTGCCAATTTCAAAATAGTGAGTTGGTTCTTAGTACCTTCCAAAGGTGACTAGTGAGGTGTTTTGTTTTGTTTTTTTAAAAGACATTAGGAAGTAAAATGTTAAAACATATTTGACATGTTTCAGTCTATTGTATTAACTTTGGCAAGGTGCAGTGGTTCACACCTGTAATCCCAGCACTCTGGGAGGCCGAGGCAGATGGATCATCTGAGGTCAGGAGTTCAAGAGCAGCCTGGCCAACATGGTGAAACTTTGTCTCTACAAACACATTTGCCAACTCCTTGACCTTGGACTTCCCAGCCTCCAGCACTGCGAGAAATAAGTTTTTATTGTTTGTACATCACCAGCTTATAGTGTTTTGTTATAGCAGCCCAAACAGTCTAAGATACTGCTATATATAAATATATTCTCCAAAATTTATGTGTTGGAAACTTAATATCCACTGCAACAGTGTTAGAAGGTGAGGCCTGCCTTCCTAAATGGATTAATGTCACTATAAAAAGGGCTTTTGGGAGTGGGGTCTCTCATGCTCTTCTGCTACATGGGGACACAGAGTCCATCACTTTTTGCCCTTCCACCATCTGCCATATGAGGACACAGCAAGAAGATCCTCACCAGACACCAGCTGCCAGTGCCTTGATTTTGGACTTCCCAGTCTCTGGAACTGTGAGAAATAAAATTCTGTTCTTTATAAATTACCCAGTCTGGGCATTCTGTTATAGCATCACAAATGGACTAATACAGACACTGCTTTTATTGTTTTCTAAATTTTCATATGCAATTAAATCTATCTGAATATTCTATTCTGCCCTAATTATCTTTACTAATTTATTTTTTGTTTTTAGTAGTTTTTCCATTGATTGTTTTGTTTTTTTCCAGATACTTAGGAATTTCATTTACAAATAAAATATCTATTGTAAAATATTTTTATGCCTCTAATGGATTTATCTTGTCTAATTGCATTGACTAACACCTCCAATACAATTTAGAAATTGTAAGAGATAGTAGGCATCCTTGTTTTATCTATTACCATAGAAGGAACACTTTTAGTGTTTTTCTATTAATTAAGATACTGGCTTTGAGGTGAGATATTAATTAGTATTTTATCATGTTAGGGACATATCATTGTAATTTCTATTTTATTGCTTGTTTTTTGGCATAAATGGGTGTTGAATTGTGTCAAAATATTTTCTGCCTCTATGGAACCAATTGTATAATTTTTTCCTCAGCCTATTATTGTGGTAAATTATATTAGTGGCTTTCCTCATATGGAATCACCCTTGCATCTATGGAATTTCCTTGGTTAAGATTATTTAAAGTGTGCTTCAGATTTTGTTTGATATTATTTTATGAATGTTTTTGTCTTCATATTGATATTCATACGTGAGATTGATTTGTGTTTTTTTACTTTTTTGGTGAAGTATTTGTCATGTTTTGGGATCAATGTCTCCTATTTGCTTCATAAATTAGAAAATTTTCTTTCTCCCTGCACTGGAACAATTTAAGCAGGATTGGATTTTCTGATCATCAAATGTTTGGTATAATTTTCTTATGAAACTATAGATAACTGTCTGATAACTGGTCTGTTTGGACTTTCTCTTCAGAAGCCAATTTTGGTAACACAGTCCTTTTATGTTGTGTTTTTGTTTGCGATTTAAAAAAAATTTTAAATGATTTTTTAAAGAGAACTTTTAGGTTCACAACAAAATTGAGAGAAAGGTACAGATATTTCCCATATACCCTCTGCATCCACACATGCATAACCTCCCCCATTATCAACATGCCCCTCCAGAGTGGTATGTTTGTTACAATCGATGAACCTACATTGACACATCATAATTACCTAAAACCCATAGTTTACGTTAGGGTTCACTCTTGGTGTCACATATTCTATGAGTCTGGACACATGTACAATAACAGGTATCCGTCACTGCATTATCATACAGCATATTTTCATGGCCCTAAAAATCCTCTGTGCTCCAGCTCTTCCTTCCTCCCCCCACCCACCCACCCACCCGTATCTTTTTACTGTCTCCATAGTAAACTTTGCCTTTTCCAGAATGTCATAGTGTTAGAATAATATAGTATGCAGTCTTTTAGCATTGGCTCCTTTCAATTAATAATATGCAGTTAAGGTTCTTCCATGTTTTTTCATATTTGATAGCTCATTTCTTTTTAGAATTGAATGATATTCCATTGTCTGGGTGTACCGTGGTTTATTTATCCATTTACCTACTGAATGACATCTTTTTTACTTCCAAGTTTAGGCAATTATGAATAAAGCTACTATAAACATCCATGTGCAGGTTTTTGTGTGGGCAAAAGTTTTCAACTCCAAGGAGCAAAATTGCTGGATTGTATGGTAATAGTATGTTTAGTTTTGTAAGCAACTGCCATTTTGTCTTCCAAAGCAGCTGTATGATTTTGAATTCCCATCAGAAATGAATGAGTTCCTGTTACTCCACATCCTTGACAGTATTTGGTGTTGTCAGTGTTCTGGATTTTGGCCATTATTGTTTTAATTTGCATTTCCCTCATGCATAAGATGTGGAGCATTTTTCATATGTTTATTTGCCACCTATATATTTTCTTTGGTGAGGTGTCTGCTAAGGTCTTTGGCCTAATTTTTAAATTGGATTGTTTAGTTTCTTATTGTTGAGTTTTAAGAGTTCTTTATGTATTTTGGAAACAGTCTTTTATCAGACGTATCTTTTGCGAATATTTTCTCCCAGTCTATAGATGTCTCCTGATTCTCCAGACATTGTCTTTCACAGAGCAGAAGCTTTTAATTTTAATGAAGTTCAGCTTGTCAATAATTTCTTTCATAGATCATGCCATTGGCATTGTGTCTAAAAACCTATTTCTTGCCAGCTCTGCTTGCTGATTTAAAAAAAAAAGTCATTCCCATACTCATGGTCCTCTAGGTGTTCTCTTATATTATTTTCTAGGAGTTTTATACTTTTTTTGCATTTTAAATTTATGTCTATGATCCATTTTGAGTTAAATTTTGTGAAGGCTGTAAGGTCTGTGTCTGGATTCCTCTTCTTCCATGTGGATGTTCTGTTGTCCCAGCACCATTTGTGAAAAGGCTGTCTTTGCTCTACTGTATTGCCTTTGTTGCTGTGTCAAAGATCAGTTGATGATTTGCCTATTCTTTCATTAATACCACACTGTGTTGATGATCATAGCTTTTAATAAGTCTCAAAGTCCATGAGTTTCAGTCCTTCAACTTTGTTCTTTTCCTTCAATATTAAATTGGCTTTTCTGGGCCTTTTGCCTCTCCGTATAAACATCAGAATGAGTTTGCTGATATCAACAAAACAACTTGCTGGGATTTTTATTGGGATTGCATTGAATCTATAGATCAAATTGGAAAGAACTAACATTTTGACAATATTGTATCTTCCTATCCATTAACATAAAATATCTCTCCATTTATTTACATTTATCAGAGTTTTGTAGTTTTCTTTATACAGATCTTGCACATATTTTGTTCAATTTATACCTAAGTATTTCACTTTTTGGGTGCTAATATAATTGTTATCATGTTTTTAATCTCAGTCGTCACTTGCTGGTGTATAGGAAAGTGATTGACTTTTGTAGATTAACCTTATATCCTTCATCCTTGCTATAATTGTTTATTCCTTCCACATGTCTTTTTATTGATTATTTGGTATTTTCTACATAGATGATCATGTCATCTGCCATCAAAGACAGCTTTATTTCCTCCTTCCTAATCACTATATCTTTTATTTCCTTTTCTTGCCTTATTGCAGTATCTAACATTTTCAGTACAATGTTACGATGTTTAAGAGGAGTGGTGAGAGGAGTGGTGAGTGCCTTGTTCCTGATCTTAGTGAGAAAGCTTCAAGTTTCTCAGTATTAAGTATGATGTTAGGTAGAGGTTGTTTTTCAGATATTCCTTTTTTTTTTAAGACGGGGCCTCCCTCTGTCTTCCAGGTTGGAGTGCAGTGATGCAATCATAGCTCACTGTAATCTCAAACTCCTGAGCTCAAGTGATCCTCCCATCTCCACTTCCCAAGTAGCTAGGATGGCAAACATGAGCCACCGCCTAGCTAATTTTAAAAATTCTTTTGTAAAGATGGGGTCTTGCTATGTTGCTCAAGCTGTTCTCAAACTCCTGGGCTCAAGTGATCCTCCCTCTTCAGCCACCCAAAGTGTTCTGATTACAGGGCGAGCCACCATGCCCAGCCTGGAGATATTCTTTATCAAGTTGAGAAAGTTTTCCTCAACTTCTAGTTTCCTTTATTCTTGGTTTATTGGGATTTTAAAAATCATGAATGAATGTTGGATTTTGTTAAATGCTTTCTCTGCATCTACTGATATGATCATGTGATTTTTCTTTTTTTAGCCCATTGATGTGATTAATTACATTGATTTTTGAATGATGAGCCAGCCTTGCATACCTGGAATGAATCCCACTTGGTCATGGCATATAATACTTTTTATACACTTTTAATCGAATTTGCTAAGTTTTGCTGTGGATTTTTGCATCAATGTTCATGAGAGATATTGATTTACTGTTTTCTTGTAATGTCTTTGGTTTTGGTTATAAGGTAGTGCTGCTTCACAGAATACATACAGGAGGTATTCCCACTGCTTCAGTCCTCTGAAAGCGATTGTAGAGAATAGGTAAAATTTCTTCCTTAAATGTTTAATAGAATTTGCCAATGAACCCATCTGGGCCCAGTGTTCTGTTTTGGAAGTTTAATTATTGATTCAATTTCTTGAATAGATATGGGTCTATTCAGATTGCCTATTTCATTTTGTGTGAATTTTGGCAGATTGAACCTTTGAAGAAATTGGCCCTTTTCATTTAGGTTATCAAATTTGTGGGCATAAATTTGTTCATAGTATCCCTTTATTATCCTTTTAATATCCTAGGGATTGTAGTGATGCTCCTTTTTTCCTTTCTTGATGATCATAGCTTTTTAATATTAGTAATATTATTACTAATATAGTTATATTATAACATAGTTATTATAGTTATATTATTACATATATACTAGTAATATAAGTAATAATATTACTAATAATAGCAAAATATTAGTAATTTGCCTCCTCCTTCTTTTTTCTTAGTTAGCCTGGCTACAGGCTTATTGATTTTACTGATTTTTTTTCCCAAAGAATTATCTTTTAAAGAACCAAGTTTTATTGATTTTTCTCTATCGAGTTCCTATTTTCAATTTCATTGATTTCTGCTGTAATTTTTATTATTTCTTTACTTCTAACTTTGGGTTTGTTTTTCTTTTTTTGAGTTTCTTTTTTTTTTTTTTTGAGATTGAGTCTCGCTCTGTTGCCCAGGCTGGAGTGCAGTGGCGCAATCTCGGCTCACTGCAAGCTCCTCCTCCGGGGTTCATGCCATTCTCCTGCCTCAGCCTCCCAAGCAGCTGGGACTACAGGCGCCCACCACCACACCCGTCTAATTTTTTGTATGTTTAGTGGAGACGGGGTTTCACCGTGTTAGCCAGGATGGTCTCGATCTCCTGACCTCATGATCCGCCCGCCTCGGCCTCGTAAAGGGCTGGGATTACAGGCATGAGCCACTGCACCTGGCCTCTTTTTTTGAGTTTCTTAAAGCAAAAACTTAGATTATTGATTTTAGATCTTTCTTCTTTTCTAATATATGCATTCAATGCCCTAAATTTCCCTTGAAGCACAGCTTTCACTGCATCCCACAAATTATGGTAAGTTGTGTTTCCATTTTCATTTAGTTCAGAATATTTTTAAATGTCTCTTGAAATTTCTTCTTTGACCTATGTGATTTTTTTTTTTTTTTTTTGAGACAGGGTCTCACTCTGTCACCCAGGCTGGAGTGCAGTGGCATGATCATAGCTGAAACTTCTCAGCTCACGTGATCTACTGCCTCAGCCTCCCTAATAGGTGGGACCTCAGGCATGCACTACCATGCCTGGTTAATTAAACTTTTTTTTTTTTTGTGGAGATGGTGTCTTGCTATGTTGCCCAGGCTGGTCTCAAGCTCCTGGGCTCAAGTGATCCTCCTGCCTTGGCCTCCCAAATTGTTGGGATTACAGGCGTGAGCTACTGCACCCAGCCCCCATTGTTGTTGTTTAATATTCACATGTTTTGGGATCTTCCAGTTATCTTTGTTATTGACTTCTAGTTTAATTCCATTGTGGTCTAAGAGTAGATATTGTATTATTTCTGTTCTTCTAAATTTGCTAATATGTGTTTTGTGGCCCAGAAGATGATCCATGATCTATCTTGGTGAATATTCCATGTGAGCTTGAGAAGAATGAGTATTATCCTGTTGCTGGATGAATTGGATGATAGATATCAATTATATCTAGTTGATTGATGATGACGTTGAGTTCAACTATGTCCTTACTGATTTTCTGCTTGTTGGATCTGCACATTTCTGACAGGGGGTGTTGAAGTCTCCAATTGTGATAAGGGGATTCATCTATTTTTTCTTGTAGTATCTCAAGTAGTTTGATATTCTATTGTTAGGTGCTTGCACATTAAGGATTATTATGCCTTTTTGGAGAATCGACCCCATTTTATCGTTCCCTTTAACTTTCCTTGTTTTGAAGTCTGCTCTAAAATTAATATAGTTACTCCAGCTTTCTTTTGACTTGTGTTGACATGGTATATTTTTTTCAATCATTTACTTTTAAGCTATATGTCTTTATACTTAAAATGGTTTCTTGTGGACAACATATAGTTGGGCCTTTTTTTTTTAATCTACTCTTACAAAGTGATTAATATAGTTGGATAAATAGCTATCATATTTGTTACTATTTTGTTTGTTACTCTTGATATTTGTTATTTTTGTCTTTTCTGCCTTTTGTGGTTTTAATTGAGCATTTTATATGATTCCATTTTCTCTCCCTTCTTAGTTTATCAGTCATACTTCTTTCATTACATTTTTAATGGCTGCCCTAGGATTTGCAATATGTACTTACAAATAACTCAAGTCCACTTTCAAATAACACTATATTGCTTAACAGGTAGTGTGAGTAACTTATATTACAAAATAATCTGAATACCTCTCTCCTGTTCCTTATCATTGGTGTTGTTATGGGAATCTTGAGGGTGTTGCCTTTCTGGCTGGAAACCTCTGTGGCTGGTGGCACCTTTGCCGAATTTTGCTCGGGCCCACTGGGCCCACTTGGACTGGCAGGCTGTGCTCAGCTCATGCTACTGGCCTGGATCCCATCCCTCTGAAGAGACTGGAGTGGAGTGGCGAGGGGTGTGTGAGTGAGTGAGTGTGGGGTCCAGTCACTGCACAGCCAGTCATGCCAGCTGCTGCAGTGAGATGGGCAGCTCCAGGTGCCAGCATGGGTGCTGGCTCACTGCGAGGCTGTGCCTGGACCAGGCATACTGCAAGAAGCTTCCATAGTTGGCACTGGGGAATGCAGTGGTGCCCAGAAGCTTGGAGGCTCCAGGAACTGCAGGGCCCCAAAGTGGGAGTCACAGCCCTGGCTCAGGGAGCTCCCAGGTCTGGGACCCCCCAAGAGCCTCAGCTCTTTTCTCCTTCTCTCTTTTCTCCTCTTCACCCACAGCATGGTGAACAAGGGGCATGTTTCAGCCCTGCTTGTGTTGCAGCTCTTTTAGCCCCACCACTTGATGGGTCCCAAGTTCTTGTCCTGCATCCAGGAAGAATGAGGTACGCAGACAAGTGGAGGGTGAGCAAGACAAAGAGGAGCTTTACTGAACAATAGAACAGCTCAGAGGAGACCCACAGTGGGCAGCTCCTCTCCATAGCCACGGTATCCTGACAAGTGTTCAGCTCTCAGTAGAGAGGGTAGCTCCTCCCTGAAGCTGGTTGTCCTGACGTCTCAGCTCTCAGCAGAGAGGAGACCTTGGGGTGTGCAGCTCCCCTCTGTAGCTGGTCATCCTGTCCTTTCTTCAGCTCTCAGCAGAGAGGGTAGCTCCTCCCTGCAGCTAGTCAGCCCATCGTCTCCCCATCATATCTCCATCCTCTGCTAGAGTCTGGCTGAGTCCAGGGTTTTTATGGGCCTCAGTGTGGAGGAAGTGCATGCTGATTGGTCCATGGGTGGCCATGGGCAGACCCAGGGAAAAGCACCACAAGTTCCCTCTCTGGCTTGCAGGACAGGCAGCTGGAACCCCAGGCTTCAGGCCCTCCCCAGCTTGAAGGTGGGGCTTCACCAGGAACCTGACCCCTTCTGCCCAGGAGTCCGTCTGCCTCCTGTTGCTGTTCATGGCACGCAGGCTGTTCATGCCAAGAGGCACGCAGCCAGCACTGTGCTGTCCTCTGCATCCCCCTCAGCCTCCCTCCTGTGCTTGTCAGTGCCCAAATCTGGAGGGGGCTGAGGTGGCAAGGGGCTGGCATGTCACTTCTGCCCTAAGTGTGGGCACACCCAGCCGGGCTGTGACAGTGCCTGGGCTTGGCCCCAACTTTTCTCCAAGATCGGAGCTGGTGCCAACAGTGGGGAGAAGCCAGGCAGTGGGAGCAGGCACTTCTGAGCCTGCGGGGAGACAGGGGGCCTTCCTGGGCTCCTGAGAGTGCAGAACCACACACATGCCTGGGTCCGCAGCCATGGCCAGGTGGCTGCAGCTGTACCCAGGGAGCTCCTGACATGCCAACTCAGAAGGGGTGGGGCTCCCACTCATTCCTGGCTCCCACAGGCTCCGTGGAGTGTGCAGCCCTGGCCATGCCTCCTCACAGCCGGGGTGGGGGTTCCAGGTCCCCACTGGGCCCCTCTCTGCCTGCTCCTGTGTGCCCAACTGCACTGCTCTCCCGTCAGCAGGCAGCTCGGCCTGGCTCCATCACAGCGGCTCTTAGGGTGACAGGTTCCAGGGGGCTCCCAGGGGTGGGCTCCGGGTACTGTTCACCTCTTTCCTGTGCCCTCCCTGCATCAGCAGGCAAGAGCGGTGACACGGGGCCAGAGTCTGCAGTGGTGGAGGCCCTGGGCCTGGGAGCAGGTCCTGCCTGGCCACACAAGGGTTGGGGCAGCACAGTTGGCTGCCTTGGGGATGTGGGACACAGAGGTCCCACCGCTGTTACTGCCACTCCTGCAGCTGCTTCCACCACCACCACCCATGCACCACCCCCCACCCACTGCAACTGACATGATGACAGTGGCTGCTTATTCGTTTCACTTATATTAATATAAAAGCAGGTGTATGTGTATCACAGATAGAGATATGCACATAAGTATACACAGTCTAACACCATGCAGTAATTATGGTTTTGAACAAACTTTTATCTGTTAGATCAACTAAGAATAATAAAAATAAGAGTTTTTATTTTACTGTTGCTTATTCCTGCTCTGATGGTTTCCTTTCTTTATGTGGATCTGTTACTGACCTACACCATTTTTGTTCTCTCTAAAGAATTTCTTCTGCTATTTCTTCCAAGGCAGGTCAACTGACAGATTTCCTCAATTTTTGTTTGAGAAAATGTTTATTTCTTCTTCACTTGTGACAGATAATTTCTCAGGGTACAGAATTCTAGGGTCTTGCTTCCCTTCCTCTGGACACTTCACATGTCTCCCTACACTTTTTCCTGGTTACCGGCTGGAGGAGGTGAGCGTGTCATTCTCATCTTCGTTCCTCTGTTGGAGTCTTGTTCCTCTGGCTTCTTTCAGGATGTTTTCTCTATCTCTGATTTTCTGTAGTTTGAACACGATATGCCTAGGTGTAGTTTTCTGGGCATTTATCCTTTTTGGCATTCTTTGAACCTCTTGGATCTGTGGCTTGGTGTCTGACATTAACGTGGTGGAAATTCTCATTCATTATTGCTTCAAATATTTCTTCTGTTCCTTTCTCCCTTTCTTCTCCTGGTATTCTCATTACAAGTAAGTTACACCTTTGTTATTGTCCCACAGTCCTTGGATAGCCTTTTCTGCTTTATTCAGACTTCGTTCTCTTTGCTTTTTAGTTTGTTCCTTGTTTGGCTGTTCGGCTGGTTTTTCTGAGACAGGGTCTCATTTTGTTGCCCAGACTGGAATGCAGTGGAGTGATCATGGCTCCCTGCAGCCTCAAACTCCTGGGCTCAAGTGATCCTCCTGTCTCAGCCTCCCAAGTAGCTGGGATTACGTGTATATACTACCATGCCCAGCTAACGTTTAAATTTTACTGTAGAGACAAGGTGTCTCGCTATGTTGTCAGGGCTAGTCTCAAACTCCTGGGCTCAAGCAATCCTCCTGCCTTGGCCTCCCAAAGTGCTGGGATTACAGGCATGAGCCACTGTGTCCAGCATGCTTTTCAGTTTTGAAGGTTGCTATGCCTCGAATGTTTGTGTCCCTCCATTGTTCGTGTGGAAACTTAATCCCCACTGTGGTGGTAATAAGAGGTGGGGCCTTTAGGGAAGTGACTAAGTCATGAGGGCTCTGCTCTTGTGAATAGGACTAATGCCCTCATATTAATAAAAGAGGCTTTAGAGAGCTGCCTGGGCCTTCCATCTCTTATGCCATGTAAAGACACAGCCATTCATCCCTTTTGTTCCTTTCACCATATGAGGATGCAGCAACAAGGAGCAATCTTGGAAGCAGAGCGTGACCTCATCAGACACCAAATCTGCTGGTGCCTTAACCTTGGATTTCTCAGCCTGTTGAACTGTGAGAAGTGAATTCTGTTGTTTATAAATGACAATCTTTGGCCGGGTGTGGTGGCTCACACCTGTAATCCTAGCACTTTGGGAGGTCGAGGCAGGCTAATCACCTGAGGTCAGAAGTTCAAGACCAGCCTGGCCAACATGGTGAAACCCTATCTCCACTAAAAATACAAAAAATTAGCCAGGCATGGTGGCACGCGACTGTAATCACAGCTACTTGGGAGGCTGAGGCAGGAGAATCGCTGGAACCCGGGAGGCAGAGGTTGCAGTGAGCCAAGATCACACCACTGCACTCCCGCCTGGGTGACAGAGTGAGACTGTCTCAAAATAAATAAATAAATAAATAATGACAATCTGTGATATCTTGTTGTAGTGGCAGAAATGGACTGAGACAGGGGTTTTAACTGATACGTCCTAAAGCTCAGGGATTCTTTCCTCAGGAGTGCCAGTCTACTAACAAGCCCATCCAAGAGAAGTCCAGGTAGCACAGGGAAGAGGAAAAAGGAGTTTCTGGAGATGGCAGTGTCTGGAGGTAGCAGTGAGTGCAAGGCTGGAGTTGACACCGTGGGCATTGTAGGGAAAAGAAAGAGAGATCAGACTGTCACTGTGTCTATGTAGAAAGGGAAGACATAAGAGACTCCATTCTGAAAAAGACCTGTACTTTGAATAATTGCTTTGCTGAGATGTTGTCAATTTGTAGCTTTGCCCCAGCCACTTTGACCTAACCACTTTGATCCAATCTGGAGCTCATAAAAACACGTGTTGTATGAAATCAAGGTTTAAGGGATCTAGGGCTGTGCAGGACGTGCCTTGTTAACAAAACGTTTACAAGCAGTATACTTGGTAAAAGTCATCGCCATCCTCTAGTCTCAATAAACCAGGGGCACAATGCACTGCAGAAAGCCGCAGGGACCTCTGCCCTTGAAAGCGGGGTATTGTCCAAGGTTTCTCCCCATGTGATAGTCTGAAATACGGCCTCGTGGGATGAGAAAGACCTGACTGTACCCCAGCCCGACACCGGTAAAGGGTCTGTGCTGAGGTGGATTAGTAAAAGAGGAAGGCCTCTTGCAGTTGAGATAGAGGAAGGCCACTGTCTCCTGCCTGCCCCTGGGAACTGAATGTCTCGGTATAAAACCCGATTGTACATTTGTTCAATTCTGAGATAGGAGAAAAACAGCCCTATGGCGGGAGGCGAGACATGTTTGCAGTAATGCTGCCTTGTTATTCTTTACTCCACTGAGATGTTTGGGCGGAGAGAAACATAAATCTGGCCTACGTGCACATCCAGGCATAGTACCTTCCCTTGAACTTAATTACGACATAGACTCTTTTGCTCACGTTTTTTGCTGACCTTCTCCTTATTATCACCCTGCTCTCCTACTACTTTCCTTTTTGCTGAAATAATGAAAATAATAATCAATAAAAACTGAGGGAACTCAGAGACCGGTGCTGGTGCAGGTCCTTGGTATGCTGAGCGCCGGTCCCCTGGGCCCACTGTTATTTCTCTATACTTTGTCTCTGTGTCTTATTTCTTTTCTCAGTCTCTCGTCCCACCCGACTAGAAATACCCACAGGTGTGGAGGGGCAGGCCACCCCTTCAGGCATGGCCAGCCTGGCTGAGGGGTCAGGTGCGTTGGGGAGCGCTGGGGGCAGGGGCCACTCAGGCTCTGAGGGGGAAGGCTGGGCTGAGGATGAGGCCCCTATTCTAGGAGGGCAGTCATCAGGGGACTGGGATGCACTGTTCTCCCACAGGTCTTTTTTCTCCTCTTATTTTATCTCCTCTTATTCTACCAAGGTCCTTTACAGTTTCAGAGATTCTCAGCCAAGCAATAAAAAACTAAGTTATTCAAAGAGCTGATTCTCTCCACTCTTAATTTGGGAGAAACATTGTTTGCATTCAAGTTTTAGTGCCAGTTGGAGAACTGTGGAGTGTTAGAGGGGTCCTGCTCATGTAGCTGCTTCCAGCCCCGGCTGCTCCTCACCCTTCTGCTGTAGCTTGCCCTTCTCCTCATTCAGTGGGGCCTGTAGCGTCAGGGCCCATCTTGCTCTTCTCCCATTTCTTTGTCCTAAATGAGCCCTACCCCCGTGGGACGGCTCTGCCAGCTGCCTTAACCTCCTTTGCCAGGTTTCATGTCCTACCCTCACGCCCCTCAGCATACCCCTGCCAGGACACCCAGGCATCATCACCACCTGTGTCTGCCCCTGCTGGGAAGCTGTGCTTTCAGTTGCCCTGTTCTTCACCACAACCTCCTTTTCATCACTTGGTCAGCTGTGCCCAACAGCAGTTCCTTACGATATGTGACTTCCAGTTTCTCTCTTTCTGGACTGGTTCTCTGTCTTCACTTCATCCCCTCCAGGTCAGACACCCAGTCCCTCTTTTCAACACTTTCGTGCCAGAATCATAGGTTCCCGGCCCATGCCCCTTGCTGCTACTCGGGGGCCACACTGGGGTGTTCCAATGACTCCATCCTTGGACCCAGTACCTGTAGGTTTCCGACGTCACAGAGCTGCTAAACTAGCTTATGCCCCCTGGGGCCTCATGGCTCCAGTCAACCTACCAAAGTTCACTATTCAATCATCTCTGCACCTCCCATGACGACAATTTCAACCTTCTTTACCTTACAGTTTCTCAGGTACAGAGCCTGGTTACTCACTTAGGCTGCAGGATTACTGACCAGCTACCTCATGCAGGAGGTATTCTAGTCCCCGGGATACAAAAGCAAACAAGAAAACACCCATGGGGTTTCTATCCTGTAGTATTACTGTAATGCTAACTGATTCATATGTGCTATTGCCTTACCCACTGCTTTCCATCTTTCCCTACTGACAACGGTTGACCAAGTGCTCACTCCACACTCTACGTGCAGAGAACATCGTGGTGGGCAGGACGTGGTCAGCACTGAGTGGGGAAAACAACACAAGTAATGAACATGCCCATCAATCACGTGGCAACAGGAGGTAGCAGGCCCAGGAACCAGAGAGCGGCAGAGGGGAGAGAGAAGACTCCAGGGAGATGATATTGGAACCGGAGTGCCAGGAAGTGAGGTTGAGCTGGGGAAGGAGCCGGGAAGAGTTCCCAGTGGGGACCTCAAAGGAGACAGCAGGTGCAGAGGCCTGACGTGGGGTGGGGGCTGGGTGCTATGGCGCCTTGCAATGAGTGTGACCTGCAGCCCAGGCCACACAATGTCACTTGCAACCCTAGGAGGAAGAGAAATGCTTGACCTGCAGTTCACTCCTTGGGGTAGTCACTTAAGATCATTACAGGGCAGTGTCTCCATTCCCAGAAACAGAAACCCAAACTTCTCCTTCTTAAGAGTATTTCCAGCCTGATCAACACACATGTGGAGACATGATACATGGAACATCGTTCTCTGACGCCTCCACTGAGGTGTGGGCAGAAGACTGTGGGAGGCCACCTCAGATCTGCATGGCGATGCCCTCAAACAATTGTCCACATTTGCATCCAATAAATGGAAATAATAACATATCTTCTAATGGGGACAAGGGTTGGCTTTTAGTCCCCCTTGGAGTCCACTGTTTTGATAGAGAAAAGGATGCCGGGCCGGGCACGGTGGCTCATGCCTGTAATCCCAGCACTTTGGGAGGCTGAGGCAGGTGGATCACCTGAAATCAGGAGTTCAAGACTAGCCTGACCAACATGGCAACACCCCTATGGCAACATCCCTCTCAAAAACAAACAAAAACAAAAACAAAAACAAAAAACAAAAAGAAAGAAAAAGAAAAGGATGCTTCTGGTGTTTTTGTCTTAAGATGCTTTCAAGTCACTTAGGAAAAATTAAGTACTTCTTAAATATATGCTGTGATTAGAAATAGGATGGCCCTAAAACATGGCACATGAAAGCTGTCATCTCAAAAAAAAAAAAGAAAGAAAGAAAGCCGTCAACTATTTAATGAGATTTTTATTGTATGGCAACATAGATGATGAATCTTGTTAGGAAATGTCATTTCAACCATGCTGTCTCCAAAAAGAAAATCACCTCCAGGACTCCAGGGAAAGCAGAGGCATTTCGTGGGCGCTGCTTGGTGCCCGCCCGCTGAGCTGTCAGGGCTGGATTGGGGACTTTCCTACCTTTCTCCTGTGGTCCTGATAGGCTTTCTCCCTTGCATGCCACAGGTACTCACTGGCACAGGGAAAGGTCAGCCGGGGGGCTCCGTGCATCTCAGCAACAAAATCGTCTTGCTCATTCCAGACAGAGGAGCAGCTGGGGCCTGGTGCAGACCTGGAGACGCTGTGTTTGCAGGGTCATGTGACAGTTGTCATGGCGTCCAAGGAGGGGGAAGAACGGGAGCCAGAAGACAGTCTGGGATTCTCAAACAACACGCGAAGAATAATGGTGAAGAGTGGGATCTTCTTCTCCACTGGGGTGTTTTTTTTTTTCAGGAGATCTTGGATAGTTTAGTGTTGCCATTTTGATGCCACTCCTCAGCTACAGAGGAAGGAGATAATCACACATAAGATCCGAGAAATTCTCCAACTAACCTTCCTCCTGCCCACCCTTCCTTTGCTCCTTGCTGTCTTCCTCTCCCCTACCTCTTTCTTCTGCCCTTCCTCCCAACCTCTCCCGCTCTCCAGTTCTTTCCTTTCTTAATTAGTACCTTTCTTTCTGCTTTCCTTATCTCCTTTCTCTTCTATCTTGAATAATTTATATAATTCAGACAATTCCAAAATATTTGTTTGAAGGTTAGGCAGCAGATCCTCCCTAATTTTTCTGATTGACTTGAAGACGAGTTATGCAAAGGCTTAGCTGTTTTAAGCCACCCTCTCTCCATTGCTCTAATCAGGTTGGGATGGGTTTTTCCTGAGACGAATGGAGTGAACATGGCGCTAGGACAGCTGTCGGTCGTTTCATCTTCGTTGAAGCCACGTGCGCAATGTTGGCGACGACACATCAGAGGATTTGGTTAATGAGAAAATAGCATCATCATTTTCATGTCAGAGCTGTGGTCTTCATTACACTACAGCTCTCATCACATGAGACTCCAGTGCAGAATCCATGGATGGGAACTCATTGTTCAGCTTTGCATATGTGAGGAGCAGATACAGGGCATTTCATGAGAAATTTGCTCTGAATATTAGCAGGATGTAGTGGCTGCCAGTCTGAAAGAAAGAATCAGATCTGGAAGTAATAAGATGTGAGTGAAGCCAAAATATGACTTTATTTCCTCCCCTGCCACTCTTGAGGTGGCTGAGGTGCTCTGTACTCAGCTAGCTCTGATGATCTTCAACATTTGGCAGAAGCCTTTATAGGCTGTTAAAATTGTTGATTTAATGAAAATTTTAAAGTTGCCTGGGTTTTTGAAAAGAAAAATTTATTTTAATACATAATTGTTCACAAGTATTAATTTTTAGATAACTTGCATATACTGTAGAATTTAGATGTAAGAATTCCTACCTAGAAATACAACCAGCACTTTAAGACATGAGGCTTAGTTATGATTTCTTAGCCTATACAATCTAAATGTTACATTCAGAGGAATTCTATTAGAATAATCAATTTCCTTTACTCTGATATTGTCATTGGTCAAAAATGACTAGAAAAAGCCTAATATTCAGTAGGTGCTCAACAAATACCTAATATTCAGTAGGTGCTCGACAAATACCTGACAGTCATGCTGATGGGAAGTAGTGCTGTCCATGCTATTGGCTGGTTCCTCAGCTGGGACTCGGAGTCAGACCGTGGGGCTGTCTTCCCTTGTTCCTTCATCCTGTGTGCTGAGAAGCCTGACTGTGCTTGCTGCTGCCATCGGTTGGTGGATGGAGGAGTGAGGGCTGTGCTCTATGTCTGCTCACACTCACATGGATAAAGCGTGCATTGAGGGCAAAGTGGACAAAATATGTGACGTTTGAAGTTTTTGTTTTTACAGTGTGGGGATTCACAGTGGTTTGGATGCACACACTGTTTTTGATGCTCCTGGTCAAATGAAGTGAGCTCAGGTCAGGGAAGGAGTCCCAGCTGCCACCCACGGCTGCCACCCACGGCTGCCACCCACGGCTGTCCACCCACGGCTGTCACTCACAGCTGCCTCCCACAGGGAAGGAGTCCCAGCTGCCACCCACGGCTGCCACCCACACTGTCCACCCACGGCTGTCACCCACAGCTGTCCACCCACAGCTGCCACCCTCAGGGAAGGAGTCCCAGCTGCCACCCAAGGCTGTCACTCACAGCTGCCACCCTCAGGGAAGGAGTCCTAGCTGTCCACCCACAGCTGTCACCCATGCTGTCCACCCATGGCTGTCACCCACAGCTGTCATCCACATGGAAGGAGTCCCAGCTGTCCACCCACGGCTGCCACCCATGCTGTCCACCCACAGCTGTCACCCACAGGGAAGGAGTCCTAGCTGCCACCCACGGCTGCCACCCATGCTGTCCACCCACGGCTGTCACCCACAGCTGTCACCCACAGGGAAGGAGTCCCAGCTGCCACCCACGGCTGTCACTCACAGCTGCCACCCTCAGGGAAGGAGTCCTAGCTGTCCACTCACAGCTGCCACCCATGATGTCCACCCACGGCTGTCACCCACAGCTGTCCACCCACAGCTGTCACCCATGCTGTCCACCCACGGCTGTCACCCACAGCTGTCCACCCACAGCTGTCACCCATGCTGTCCACCCATGGCTGTCACCCACAGCTGTCATCCACATGGAAGGAGTCCCAGCTGTCCACCCACGGCTGCCACCCATGCTGTCCACCCACAGCTGTCACCCACAGGGAAGGAGTCCTAGCTGCCACCCACGGCTGCCACCCACGGCTGCCACCCACGGCTGTCACTCACAGCTGTCACCCACAGGGAAGGAGTCCTAGTTGCCACCCACGGCTGCCACCCATGCTGCCCACCCACAGCTGTCCACCCACGGCTGTCACCCACAGCTGTCCACCCACGGCTGTCACCCATGCTGTCCACCCACAGCTGTCACCCACAGGGAAGGAGTCCTAGCTGCCACCCACGGCTGCCACCCATGCTGTCCACCCACGGCTGTCACCCACAGCTGTCACCCACAGGGAAGGAGTCCCAGCTGTCCACCTACGGCTGCCACCCTCGGCTGGCCTATGGTTACCTGCAACCCACTGACCACTCGACTCACGTCTGCTCTTGGACTTGACTGACGGCAGGGCCCATGGTACAGAATCTGCAAACATCAGACATGTTGCTAAAGACCCAGGAAAATCAATCACCCCCAACAACATGCTCTGGATTTCAGGGCACCACAGGGCTCCAATCAAGTTTTGCTTCTTAAGATCAGACCAGACAAGGCAGTTAAGCAGCAGCTCCTTGGCATCTGTCCTGAGGACTAATGAAACACTGACAAGGGCTTGCACACATGAAGCAACACTGCATGGAAGTGAGCTGCAGTCTGGGGTCCAGTGTTGAGAAGCAGTGCGGACTTCCACCGTGCACCTCTGTTCCGGGATCCAAGCCATGGCACCACACTGCATTTTGTGATTTCTATATTAAGTGGAGAATTATTTTTTATACTGGGCTAGGTTTGGATGTTTGGTATTATATAGTTTCTACTTATATTCTACAGAAAGTAAATACCAACGCCTATTTTTGACTTTGATTATCCAGATTATATTTGGGTGTTCAGCTGCTGCCTTAATCAATATTTTGGCCCAATATTAAGTTTAACGTTTTGTTTCTTAGAAATGCCTTGAAATGTCACCAAGTGATATCCTGAAATGTGGAGGCCGTTACATAGAACAGCTTACTATGTTGCATGCAATATGTAAAGTATTTGCTATATGACACATATTAACTCAGTCTTTAATATTCATAATTCTTTTCCTGTGTCCTTAACTCTAAATCCAAGCTTTGATTTTTCTGTTCTGCCCTCCCACAAAAGGCCGTATCTTCAAAACCAAGCAGCAACTTCGTTCTCATTCTGCAGAAGAGTGGTTTACAAACAAATCTCCAACCACTTCAAATTCACTCAACCTTCAACCTTTGGAGGGCAAATGTGCTTGCAAACATTGATTTCCAGAAAAGGTAACTGTGTCTCCAGTACCTTCTGTGTAGTGCAAATCACTCAAGAGCTGAGCTAAAGAAGCTGGGAGTCACCACCACCAGGAACTGCTGCGTGACCTGCTTAAGTCGACCCTTCCACTGAACAAAGCCAGAATCCTGGAGGCCATCTTGCATATACTGAAGAGCCCACCCAGGAGTCAGGAATTTTGAGGCTGTGGTCAAAAAAATCTGTCAGACCCCCGAGCCAGCACTCAGAGGGCTTCTCCTGAAGGCACTCAGGATGCCAGCGGTGGGGTCTTTGTGGGGGATGGGGCAGGTGGGCAGTCTTCATAGGAGCTGAAGTCTTCACCCTCAGGAAAACGTGGATCAGAAATAACCCATCCTTCAACAACTGCCAGGTTACAGCAGAGCAGGGGACAAGACAAGGAAGAGCCCTGCGGCCCAGGTTCACACAGTTGTGAAATTAGCTTAATGTCACAGTGCCTAAAAAACCCTCAAGTCGCGAAATTATCTTAACGTGGCCCTGGACTGATGACATCTCAAGATGCTGCCAACTTTCCAGTGTCTCAGTGCACCAAACATCTTGCAAAGTGAATCAATCCTGCAGAGAAGACACGACTAGCACCACAGGAACCTTGGAGCAGATGGCTCAGACACAGATGATAAGACTCACTCTGCTTCAAGGCACAAAAGACAAAATCGGAAATAGCTGCAGAGTACAGGAAACCATAAAAGTTTTCAATACAGAAAGAATGTTTACAACATTTGCAAAATTTGACCGTATGCTGGGCCATGAAAAAGTGTCCACATGTTTCAAAGGGCTGAAATCATACAGATAATGTTCACAGTGGCAGAGAGCCAGGAATTCATAACAAAAGATAACTGGGAAATCCCATGTTTGGAAACTAAGCAATGCAATTCCAAGGTCAGGAACAAGACAGGGATGTCCCTGTGGCCTTCCCTGATACAAGAGGAGCTCTTTGGATTAAGTGGATTAATGTGTTAGGGGTCTTGAACTGTCCACCTAAAAGGAAATTCAAAGGAACAGGCTCTCCAGAACAAATAAATTTAAGTGAGAATAGCACGGGATTGCATGCTATGATAGATCACAGGCACACTGGAGGGGCCAGGGCAAAGGGGAGATCTTTAAAGACAGAGAGAACTCCACAGAAGCTGCTTTGTAACAAAAATCACTGGTTAGCAGAGCTTGTCCCAGAGCTGGCGTTAGCTCCTTGTGCAGGCCGCTCACCTGTAATACCGACCTGTCTTGAGGAATTTTCGTGCAATGCATCCTAATATGGGCGAACCTGAGGCCCGTGCAGGGGTGCCTTGAGATGAGGCTTGTCCAGGTGTTTGTGTATGAGGGCGCCCCGTCATGGCCTCCCCACCCCATTTTGTTAGAGTTTGATATGAGTGAACCTATTTTGGTACTAGCAACTTTCACAGAACAGAAGGAGTTCAATTTGCTGGTAATTAGTCATGGTGGTGTTAACTGCAGCCTTACTCATGCAATCATTTCTCAAGAACCCTATTCCTGGGACGATTCACTTAGGTCTCAATCCCACTCTGGAAATAGTCTTAAAAAATTGATGCAGAAGCATGTGAAAGCTGAGTGTATAAACACATGAATTCCAGTGTCACTGGTTTACTGTTGCACAGAGCTGGAGCTGGGCCCACTCCACACAGAAAGTGATGGGGTGTGGTGCAGCCACTCTTGTGATGACTGGAAAGACAAACCCAGCAAGATATGCACAAAACTGCTCCTTTTACCAGTAAGTGGGGAGCTGAGCCCAGAAGATACCTTGGAAAAACTTCCTCTTACTAGCATGTGAGAAGCTGAGACTGGAAGACACCTTGGTAAAGTTAATTTGTTATAGGTGTGTTAAAGCAACTAAATATGGCCCAAGAAGGACTCTGTACTTCCAGATTTATGAGTCCTTGTGGATAAACTGCAGCCTAACTTAATAGGTAGACAAGATTGAAAACCTAATTTAGGAGTCTGAGCCTGTAACAACAGCTGAGTCTTGGCCAATTCCAGCAGCTGTACTTCAACCACTCACCCTGCTGAGTGTCCAAACTGTGTTCAAATAAGGCAAACCCTGAGCTGTAACCAATCCAGCTGTCTGTACCTCACTTCCAATTTCTGTACGTCAGTTCCCTTTCTTTGTCTATAAATATTCTTCCACTACATGGCCGTGCTAGAGTCTTTTCGGATCTGCTGTGATTCTGGGGGCTGTCCAATTTGTGAATCCTTCATTGCTTAATTAAACTCCTTTAGATTTAATTTGGCTCAAGTTTTTCTTTTAATAGATGGTGTCAGAAGTGGGATCTGATATTGTAGGGGTTATAAAATTTGGCTTTTGGAAATTCACAGGGATTTTTGTGTTCCACCCCTTTGTTTCATTTTCCCTGTGCGCTTAGGTAGAAAAAAATCATTGGTGTATTAATCTGTTTTTATGCTGCTGATAAAGACATACCTGAAACTGGGAACAAAAAGAGGTTTAATTGGACTTACAGTTCCACATGGCTGGGAGGCCTCAGAATCATGGCAGGAGGTGAAAGGCACTTCTTACATGGCAGCAGCAGGAGAAAAATGAGGAGGAAGCAAAATCAGAAATTGCTGATAAGCCCATCAGATCCTGCAAGACTTATTCACTATCATGAAAATAGCATGGGAAAGACCAGCCCCCATGATTCAGTTACCTCCCAATGGGTCCCTCCCACAACATGTGGGAATTCTGGGAGATATAATTCAAGTTGAGATTTGGGTGGGGACACAGTAAACCATATCAATTGGCTAAGTTAATCAAGGGAATCTGAGAGTAAAGCCAATATTTTAGGTAAAAATAGGATCCTTTTTTTTTTAAAATTATACTTTAAGTTGTAGGGTACATGTGCAGAACATGCATGTTTATTACATAGGTATACACATGCCATGGTGGTTTGCTGCACCCATCAACCTGTCATCTACATTACGTATTTCTCTTAATACTAATGCTATCAAAAATGGGATCCTTAGTTTCTAGAAAACTGAGTTCCTTCTGGCTTATACATTAGGCCTGGGAGGCCATGAAGTCTTAAAGAAATGGCAAAATCTTACTAAAGGTAACTTACAGTGGAATGTTCCAAATGAACAATGCACAAAAGTGCATTTAAAAATGAGGGTTCACAAATTAGTCTCATCTAGGGATGCATATTAATATGCAGAAGCTTTTAGAAAGATTTAGAGATGATGGGGCCAATCTGGGGGCAAGTTTGAGCCTTGCCAGTTTGATATTGGGGGCAAAGCAGAGTGGCTAACATCTATGTTTTGTCACATGTATTTTGCTCTGGCCAGAGCAGAAAAAGATAATTTTCCTTTGTGCTGTGGCTTGGCTGCATTGGCTTTGGTGCAGCAAGCCGGGTCAGTGGGGCCCTCGGGGAAAGGGAACCCAGAAGCCTAGCATGCCGACAAAATGCTAAGGATGCCTCGTGAGTCAGAGAAATCCTGGCCTCTTTTTCTCTGTGCAAACTGGTTAAATGAATAGTAAAAATCACTGTTTATCTCCTCTGTAAAGTTTTAGTTAATATGAAAAAGAATTCTGAGGCTGGTCTTAAACTGTAGTGAATCTGGTGTGCTTTGTGTGTCTTTCTGTATTGTTCTGTCATTAAAAGGGGTACCTTGGGATAAAATGCATGCCTAAAACACCATAAGCCCACTGTTCGAGATGCAAATTGGTCAGTTATAAACTTTGCTTCAGGTCCCTGAAAGAAGAAAAAGAAAATAAAAGTAGATGAGGTCTCCATCTTGTCTTAAACGTCCCTGGGGGCTTGAGCTTGTAACCACGTGGAAATGTTTTCCTCAGTCTCTCTATCACAATGGCTGCCAGGTTCATGGTTCAATTCCCGGCTTAGGGAATGAGTACTTTCTGATTGATATTTGGGTGACATTTGCCATTTTTAAATCCTCTTCCCCTCCATGAACAGTCTTGAATTTTCCTTTCTGTAAGCACAAAAATATTGGCTGTTGGGCCTGGCTAAAGTCGGGTAATAAGAAACTTAAAAGAACTTTTATTAAACAGTGCTATAGATAATAGTCAGCTTCATTAAAAGTGGATATTCAAGCTCCAAGAGCCTGGGACTCTTTAAGAAAAACAGGGGCACCAGAGACCCCTTCCTGGCCCCATTCTTCCAAGGACTGGACCCTATACCAGTAATCCAATTAAGAAACTAACAAACTGGTAAAAGAAAACTTACAACTACTGTAATAATCTTCTGTCTGTCTGTCCGTGTAGTTACAAATGTGTTGTGTGTGTAATGTTTATATGAAAGAGCTCTAATTAATTGGCTTAAAGAAAAATAAGCACTTCGATCAAATATTTTTAAAGAAAAATAAAAACTAATGCCCTTTAGCTCACATGATTTTAATAATCTTTGGGAAATAAAAAGTTTTAAAGATTATTGGCAAAAATAAAGACATTTGGTCTCAATTATGCAGGTCAAATACTAGGTTCGCTAAATGCTTTAAGGTGATAAACTGCCTTGACTTTTAAGGCCTGGGGACATGTGGAATTCCATTTCATAACATCAAGTGTTTTAAACCTTTAACATATTTGATAGGCTTCTCAAAATTGTATGTCAGCTTCAAAATGGTCTTTTCTGACCTCCGACTTTGGGATGCTACAGAGGGCCCTTGAAACATCCAAAAGAGAGGTCAACGGGATTATCTGACATGTTAAGTTGCATGGGAAGCATTGTTAAAATAAAAATAGTGTTTAATCTTCAGGTTATACTTTGGTGAATTATATTAATATATGTTCCAAAATTGTATGGAATTTCTAAAATTCTAATATGTTTGAGTATATGCTATCAATCATAATTATGGTTATTATGTCAAGTTATTGTAGACCACAGAAATAAACAAATTTCCTAGCTTAAGTGTTAAAGTTTCCTAGTTATAGTGGTTTTAACTATAACTATTTATTTTATTTTATTTCATTTTTTTTTTTGAGGTGGAGTCTGACTCTGTTGCCCAAGCTGGAGTGCAGTGGGGTGATCTCGGCTCACTGCAACCTCCGCCTCCCAGGTTCAAGTGATTCTCCTGTCTCAGCCTCCCAAGTAGCTGGGATTACAGGCACCCACCACCACACCTGGCTAATTTTTGGATTTTTTAGTAGAGATGGAGTTTTGCCATGTTGGCCAGGCTGTTCTCAAACTCCTGACCTCAGGTGATCCACCTGACCCGGACTCCCAAAGTGCTGGAATTGTGTTTTTAACTATAACTATTTAAAGTCATTTCCACAGTTAATTGCTTAAAGCTGATGCAGTTTCTGAAAACTTCAAAAGCATGGTGTCCTTTAGGATGTTCATGAAAGGATGGGGAGGACGCTGACAAGCGCTCTTGAACACAGGTTTCTAACAACTGCAGAGTCATGTCATTTGAACCGCATAACAGTTCCTGGAACTTGAATGAAAGGACTGACCAGTTTATCAAACTGCTAACTCAAAGTGGGACAAAAATTAACTGAATACCAATGAAATACTTTGCCAGATTTTCATGCTAAATCAGCCAATACGGAAATTGTTTAGATATACAATTTGAATGAAATCTATGGTCTAAGTCAAGTTACCTATGATAACACATTAGTTAACAGTGCTATGCACCTCATTTGGAGAAACAACTGTTATTCAAGAGGACATAAGTCCAATGTTAAGCATGGACTCATGGAGAACTAGGATGGCTTCCTTGTCCTTCCCGAGTCCTTAAAGCTTTTAATATTAAGAGTTCTGCATTCCATGACTCATCATGAAAAGATAAAATAATCCAAATTAAATATATTGATGTGGTGATTTATAAATTGCAAAAATGGTTTATAACCAATGTTTGGTTCCATATTCCTGGGAAGACAATCAAAGCTTCAGATAAATTTGGTTACCTGATGGGCCATTTAAACATTTATTAAGGAATTTCATTCAATTGTCATTTTCAATGCATGTTTTCTGGTTGTATAAAAGCCTTCCCATGCAATAGGGCTGATATTATAACACTAAGTTATTGTGCCACAGTGTATTTTCATCAGGTAACGGAAGCTTCTTTATGGTTCACTGAGGAGAGTCAACCCCTTCACAATCTAGAACACAAAGATGGGATCTTCTGAGAACGTCAGAGAAAGACTGCCATTGCCATCCTCACTGCAACAAAACTTTGGAAACTTGAACCTTGAGTTCATCATCTCACGACTGAGAAGGGTCCCTCCACACTCTTGGAACTGGACACCAATTGGAACCCTTAAGGTAAAGCTAACCAGGGAAGTTTCTCCCCAGAAGTAGTTGGCATCCTTGATGTGACCAACTTTTCCCAAGATCACGGATCAAGAATTCTATCACGAGACTCTTAGTTTTGAATATTTTCTCCTTGCTTATGCCTCTGTGAACAATAGAAATGGAAAGGGGGTCTGTTGTGTGCACTTATGGGGTATACTTTTATTTGTGAAGGATTTTGCAGCCAGTCTTATACATGGACAATCTTATACTTTGATAGATAAAAGATGAAGGCCTGATGTAGGTGAGAAACTTTAATGGTACATACATTGCCTCATAATCAGTCAGAAACAGAACATTGATTAATTCTTCTTAACCCACATCATGAGTTAAAGAGAACATTGCCAGGAAGCCTTCACTCTTCTGGAAGGGCATCACTTGTTAGGTCCTTATTTCCATTGTTTGGAGTAAAAGAGGCAATGATTAGAAATGTATCCCTCATGATAGGCTCTATAGCAGATTCTACTGAAAAGCTATGGTTACACAACAAACTTTAAATTCTCTTATAAAAGTTATGCTGAAAAGTGGCTAAACAGAGAAGTATCTGTGCAGTTGCTGGCACTTACGGCCTATGAAGAAAACATCGGGTATTACAGAGATTCAGTTGAAGGGGATTAATGAAAAAACGACTTAGTCAAGTGAGTAGACTCCTTATCAAGCTCATTCTTTGATCTATTTGATTTTAGGAGGTTTGGTTTATGGGGACCCTGGGTAAGGAGTATATTGCAGACTCTTGGTATTATCCTCCCAATAGTCATAATAATAGTCTCCCTGGTGCACTGTATTCTCTCAAAGATTTCAAATGTTTGCATGCAGCTATCTTTAGAATGTCAAATGGTCTCTCTTCAATTGGAATGACTAGAGCTGAAAGAAATGTGTGACCATGAGGACACCATAACCTATGAGGGATGTGCTGAGACCAGAAACCCAAAATCATGGTAACTGAGAGCGGCGCTAATGCCCTAAGTTTTGGTCACACTCTCACCTAAGTGAGAACCTGACCAAAAAGGGGGAATTTATTTTAAACAAAATGATGGGAGGCCATTGTTTTGAACTGAGCTCATACAATAGGCCCCAACAGACCCAATCAGACAAAAATAGAGTTTCTTGTGCTAAATGTGACATAATCAAAGACTTGAAGGAAACGTACAGATCCTAGGACAGAACAGACCAGGTTTTGTTTTCCTCCTGTAAACAGGACGTTCAGTATGAGGAGGTGCCTTCTGTTCAGTCCTTCTTCTTACCTTTGCAAAACTCACTGTTCTACTATTTTCCAGTGGGTTTCAAGACCAAATAAGTACATTTACTATGGTGATAGTGACATCGCTGACTAAAGTTTTGGTTAATCTCTCAAAAATTGAGAAAATGACCAAAAGAGGGGAATTGTTAAAGCAAAGTAAATATGTCCTGAGAAGGTCTCTGTACTTCTCTATTTGAGTCCTTGTGGATGAGCTACAACCTGACTTAATAGGTAGACAAGATAGAAAACTTAGGAGTCTGAGCCTGTAACAATCACTGAGCCTTGGCCAATCCCAGTGGCCGTACTTTAGCCACTTACCCTGCTGAGTGTTCAAACTGTGTTCAAATAAGGCAAACGCTGAGTCGCCAGCTGTTCTGTGCCTCACTTCCGATTTCTGTACATCATTTCTCTTTTTTTTGTCTATAAATCTTCTGCCACATGACTGCACTGGAATCTCTTTGAATCTGCTGTGATTCTGGGGGCTGCCCAATTCGTGAATCCTTCATTGCTCAATTAAACTCCTTTAGATTTAATTCAGCTGAAGTTTTTCTTTTCACAGGTGGGAAGAAAGCCATTTTAAAGTTTTTATCATTTTGTGTGGTTAATTAAAGAAAATCTATTTGATGTGCAAACTAGGCCTTGATCACATCTTTACAGCCGGCCCCTTCTCCACTGACACCATCTCATACCTACTGAGCTTAGAAATTCAAAAAAACACAAAACCACTGCCTGCAAGCCCACCCTGCTCACAAGATGGATTCTCTTATAAAGCAAACAAGAGTCCCTCGGCCGTCGGTGTCTGAACAGCCCCTCCCTGGGACCTCATGGTGTCTGACCGCCTGGCTGGCGAAGGCGTCCTTGCTTCCTCAGCCCCACATTGTTTCAGGCCTTGGATGTCCCAGGGAATCACAGAGAGGAGACCACAGACAAGAAGGCACCGGACACTCAACTTCCAGGGCCCTGGAGGCTTCCCAGGAAGGCTGCCTGGGAAGGAGGCCAGGCACCATTCCTGCTCTCTGCTCCAAGCCAGCTGAATAGGGAGGTGATCTGAACGTTCAGTTGGTTTTTGCCAGGAAACCTGGGCAACCCCGATGCTGGGGCAGCCATGCCAAGAGCTCGCAGCCCGTGGTGAGGAGAGGGAGCAGGGGCTGCAGACCCATGCGGGCAGAGAGCACACCAGAGCTGGAGGCTGCCTGGTTCCCTTACTGTCTGCAAAAGCACCACGTCCTGCCCGGGGTCTCCGCCTCGGTTCCTTTTTCATCTGGCCATAGGATGCAGTAAGACTTTCAGAACTGAACAACAACAGCTTTTGTGCTATTCTGAGCAGCTATTTTTTTGTCCCTAGTTACTGGTCCTCAAGTCTGGCCTTAGGCAAAGCTCATGTCATCTGCAGGGGACGGTCCCTCCGGGGCTGGGGCACAGGCTGGAAAGCAGCCAGGCCCTGGCGGAGAACCCATGGGCAGTGCCTGCCAGGAAGGCAGAGGGCAGCTGAGGCTGCAGGCGGGGTCGGGGGCGGCGCAAGGCACAGAAGCCTTTGATGCTCAGACCCGCGTGTGCTGAGCCATCTCAGCAGCCCTTGGAGCCTGGGCTCTGCAGGGTCCCACAAACTAGACAGGATGTGTGTGTGTGCTTCTGAGCCCTGGGGCCTCTGTCCAGGAGACCTGCAAGATGCCCAGTAAGCTCTCCAGCGCACAGAGAGGGGACAGGACCCTAACCCCTCAGCCCACGGCCCCTTGTTGCCATCTTAATGCAGATGCAATTGTAAAATAAATAATCATTTTCTCCATCACAAAAACAAGGAAGCAGTTCATGAGTATTTTTGGCAACATATCCTTCCCTTCAAGAAAAGGAGAAAATTCAATGAAATACAAACTGCACCCTCTCCTCCAACTGAGAAGGAAAATGAAATTGAGAAGAAAGTAGTATTCGTCTGCTTAGTAAAGAACTGCCTTGGCCTTTAGAAGGTCAGATGTCCTAGGTGGGAACTGTCACTGTGACCAGGAGGAGGTGTGGATCCAGGGCTTCATTTGTGGTCCAGCTTGGTGGCTTGGGTCCAATCCAGCGACTGCGGCTCCTCAGTCCATCCCATCTTAAATGCCTCCTGCTGCACCAAGACCTCCTCCCACTTCTCCTCCTCCTCCTTCCCCCAGAATCGCTTATCACGATGGCCACTAACCTGGAGAGAGTGACTCCCAGCAGGTATTCCAGACGGAATCCCTGATTAAAGCTGTGCATGCTGCCAAGCTTCCGCCCGTTTTCACATTTTAACACGCAGTCCTAGGTGGGAGCAGCCTATCACCTAAGAGGCAGAGTTTAGAAGGCCACTGATGAAAAGCGATATTTTGGGTCAAACAATTCTGTGCTGTGGGGAGATGTCCTTTGCGCTGTGGGATCTGGGTGGCACCCCTGGCTTCTAGGATTCTATGGCTGTAGGTGTGCCTCACATCCAGTGTGACAGCTCAAAGAGTTTACAGGCGTTGCTGTCCCCTGGGGAGAGATGGCAGCAAAAATCAACCCCAGTCGAGAACCACTCTGTCAATCTAATGGGTGAGAGTTCACACTGAGCACCTAGGTTGGTTCTGAGGGAGATTGTTTTGGGAAGGTCAGCCTATGACATCCGAGCAGATAGTCGTCGCCTTTTATGCGGGTGACATGGAGACCACTTTCTTCACCTTCCAAGCAGGCTAGGAAGGGCCGACTGGCCGGGCAGGCTGTAGTCCTGAGAAAGTTCGAGTGAAGGCACTCTGCGCTTTGCCAGGGTCTGTGCATGGTGAAGGGGCCGTGTGGGTGGGCTGGGGTGAGGAAGACAGGCGTGAGGGTGAGCTGGGAAGCTGGGGGGCAGGTGGCCTGGTGTGCAGTGTGATCGCTCCCACACCACTTGTCCCCAGGATGGTCACTGAGCTCTCAGCACCGAACTGCATGTCTGTTTCCTTGTGGGAACTTAGCGTGCACCCACCAGTAAATTATTTTCAAATTATTTTCTTACTGGGGCTCATCATCTCTTCCATGAATGGGAAGTACGAACTAAGCACATGCCCCAGCGTGCACCCCAGACAGCGACGAGGACGCTTGTGCTGGCAGCAGGGCAGGCGGCAGGAACCCCAGCCAGGAGCCCAGAGACTCGGGGGACTCCAGCTCCGTGTGTCCCTGGGAGGCTGCTTGTCTTTGGACCTCAGCGTCCACATCAGTAAAATGCAGGACGTCACATCATAGCTGTGTCACAAGAGGCGAATAAGACCAGAGGTAGAAGCACTGGGAAAGGACGGTGCTCCTGGGCCTCGGGCTGAATGGTGGAGGAGCTGGGTGCCTCTGGCTTCCATCCTCCTTGAATCAAGTTCTTGCCATAGACAGCACAGGGACATGCACTGTGCCTTCCCGAAGCAGCACCTTTGAATCGGGGGTCAACTCAACTCTAACTTAGAGAAAGTGGTTGAGATGAGCTGAGATTTACCTTCTTCCATAATAAACTTTACCTTTTTATTCTAATTCTGCCCATTGAAGTCACACTGAAGAAACGACGTCCTTCTGCACACGAGGCCCCTCAGTATTGAAGACGGCAGAGCACACATCCTTCCCCCATCTGCCTCTCCTTAGGCCACGCTTCCTCAACCCCTGTAACTCCTCCTGCGTGGCCAGGGAAGCACTGCTTGGAGTTGTAATTCACAGTGGTGGTCAGAGGCAGGGAGGAGAGGGTCCCTCGCTGGGTGCAGAGTCCGGCGGTGGTGCTCAAACGGTGCATGCCCCCACCCCACCTAAGGGGCTGATGAGCCCCCTTGGTCCCGGCAGCCCGCTCAGTGCCACATGGCCCCCTCGGTCCCCCTGCCGGGTATGGAAGGAGCACTTCTACCAATGGAATGTGAATGGTGTAGAAAGAAACAAAAAAACAAAGCAAGAACCGTCCAGTCCTAGTCTAGGCTCGTGTTTTCAGTAAAGAAACTGTGTCTCCCAGGAGTTGACAGCATCTGCTTGAGGGTGTACAGCTCCGTCGTCACTGGGGAAGGCTGGTGAGGGTGCAGCCTTCCTCACTCCTTATGCTTTTCCCAAACTCTGGGAAAAGCTCATCTCCGCTATCTTTCAGTTACATTCCCATTAGGAACGGGTGTTGTGGACGCCCTGCAGGGTGTCTGCCCAGCTCCCCACGACCCACAACCCACCCAGTCTGCCCTGTTCTTAACACATGACCACTCCTGCCCCTGCCCTCGGCCTGGGCCCAGCTGAATGGATCACGGAAATGATCTCTCTAGAGACTGGAAGTGTTGGGGCGCAGCTGGTTCTCTCGGCATGTGGCTGGCAGAGACACTAGGAGACTGTGGGAGATGAGATGAGGGAGAGGCAGGGGAAATAGCCTTCAGGGGAGAGGACTTTGAGAAGAGGGACCAAGAAGCAGGTCCAGGAGGCCTGATGGGCTCTGGGTGGCTTTTCCAGCCCTGGCTTTAGATCTGCAGGAAGTCCAGCTGCCCTGGGTCTGTGGCAGACTCTGCAGTCTTCCAGGAAACTCCTTTTCTGTCTTGACCTGTGAATGGAGACTGTGTTGGAGGCGTTGGCAGTGAGGTAAAGTCACTCCTGTCTCCCCCTAGTTTTGTACATTGGTAATATTTGTTCTCCTGGAAAAATAGAGACAGGAACCCCCGCCTTCTTTATTTTTATTTATTTATTTATTTTGAGATGGGGTCTCACTCTGTCACCCAGGCTGGAGTGCAGTGGCGCGATCTCCACTCACTGCAACCTCTGCCTCCCGGGTTCAAGCAGTTCTCCTGCCTCAGCCTCCCGAGTAGCTGGGATTACAGGCGCCTGCCATCACGCCCAGCTAATTTTTGTATTTTTAGTAGAGACAGGGTTTCACCATGTTAGCCAGGATAGTCTCAAACTCCTGACCTCAAGTGATCCACCCACCTTGGCCTTCCAAAGTGCTGGGATTACAGGCGTGAGCCACTGTGCCCGGCTAACCCCTGCCTTCTTTAATAGAAAAATTCAGATTTCTAATTGACTGGCCTTCTTTATTTTCTTTCGCCTTCAGAAAAACTGGGAACAATATGGAAGATATTTATGCTCATGCTCCCAGTGGAGGAAATTTTTAATGCCTCGAACTTCCTAGAAGAAGAGCTCTCTGTTGTGCCTTGATGGCCGCATGGCCGTTGCTTGCTAAGACCCAGCATATGCAGTAGCCTCAGACAGAAATCCAGTCGCTCTGGTGAGTAGCCACCCATCGCTCGTCACACTCTCCCGAGACTCTGGCGAGTAGTCACATATCGTGCATCACACTGGTTTTGAAAAAGGACCCGAGCGTCTCTCCTGAGATCCCTGCACTCTTCCCTGGCGGCCGTCACTTCACCAACAGTGAGCTAAGTTCGTGACGCTTGTTTCTCTCAGGACAAAGCAGAGATTTAGGTGTCGGAAAAGCACTGCAGGCACCTTATCCCTGGACCAGAGACTCCCTTGGTCTGCTTTGTTTTTAAAGTAGAAACGGTCATTGTCAAAATGGCCCTCAGGCACAATATTTACACAGCAGAGACCCAGTCGCAGCCGCCTCACACCGAGGTCAAGGGGCAGAGACAGCAGGAACCGTGAGCTCTGGTTCCTGAGCCAGTGTCTCCTCCCTCTACCGAAGCCCTCGTGTTTGCACTCTCTTGACGAAACACCGAGCTATTTAAGTGGGAATAATATAGTTCCTTCTGTAGACAGCACAGCTGATGCCGTGGTCAAGGACAAAAATGTTAAAAGGTTTGGCCTTTAGTCGAGGACGGGCAGTTGTTGCTTTCCTGGAGGTAGCTGGACGCAGGCGGGTTTTCCTCCCGTGAGGAGCACAGCAGCCTGGGCGGGTGAGGAGGAGCCAGGCTGGGCAGGGCGGCTGTGGGTTCTCGACTTCCTCCTCCTATTCCGGGTGCCAGGAGCTGTTTACTGCCCTGTGAGAGCTTCCTGACAGCAGCTTCACTGGCCCCCTTCCAATCGAGTTCCTGCCCTCTCATCTTTGTGGAGACCACGCTGACTATGATTTCCGAAAATTTACTTGTTCTCTGCCAAATCCAAGGATTCCCACTCCCTCCCACCCATACCCTCGCTTTGCTTCTTCCCGGCTCTGCACACTCCCCAACTTGCTTCTGCACCAGGGGCCCCTCTGGGGAAAAGCAGATGTCCCTTGAGCTAAAGAAGTTGCAGTTCACCCAGGCTGGGCTGTCCTGGAGGTTGTGGGCACGTGAGCGTGGGAGGGGTCGTGTGTTCCTCCACGCTCACCCAGAGCAGCCCCCTCTCGGCTTCGTGTAATATGCTGGTGTCATACATACTTAGGTCTGTTGGAAGAAAATGTCCCAGGACTCACATAAATGATAAAAACCGTCGTTCCAGGCAGCCCATGGCTGGCATCTTGAGTGCCAATAACGTGCTCCCTGAAGCTTTCCCT
The DNA here is from genome assembly GCF_000001405.40 of Homo sapiens. NCBI lineage: Eukaryota > Metazoa > Chordata > Mammalia > Primates > Hominidae > Homo > Homo sapiens. Next base: position 114,161,586 of record NC_000013.11, on the reverse strand, counting down.
GGTGGACACGAAGCAGCACTTCGCTCGTGATGGCTGATTGAAAACATGCCGGTGAACTGGACGACGGTGAGCACGACCCCCGCCCCCCGCCGCTGTGGCCGCCGCGGGGAAGCCTGCGCGTGAGTGGGACACACTTTGCCCTTCGTATTCTGAGGACAGAGGTTTGGCGTGTTAGCGAGGCCGCCAGAGTTTCACTCACACCGCGAGGCGTTCTCTAGTTAGAGGCGAGAGGGCACGACCGGAAGCGGAAGCCGCGTGACTGGGGGGGCGGCGCCGTGCCCGCCTTGGGAAGCTCGCTTCCGGTGAGCAGAGGGATGGAAGAACGCGTGCGTTTAACGTGGCTTCTGCTGGCTCCGCATGAAACGGGTTTCCGAACAAACCATACTGGGTCCCTGCCACATGTGCGTTGACCTCATTGGAGGCGAACCTTTGCTCAGGAAACTGATTCACCCAGTGGGTGACAATCAGGAGGGGCACGGAGGGCCAACGTGAGCGTTCTCACAAGCTGGGGACGAATGACGAGGCAGTGGAACAATTGCGGGATGAGGGGGGGTCACGGTGAGTCCTGCTTTGAAAATGAGTCAGGAGTAGATACAACATTTGTAAAGATGACCTGCTACCAAAAGGCCTTTGGTAAAATTCAACATCCTTTCATGTTAAAAACTCTCAATAAGCTAGGTATTGATGGAACATACCTCAAAAGAATAAAAGCCATTTATGACAAACCCACAGCCAATAACATACTGAATGGGCAAAAGCTGGAATCGTTCCCTTGAAAACTGGCACAAGACAAGGATGCCCTCTCGCACCACTCCTATTCAACACAGTATTGGAAGTTCTGCCCAGGGCAATCAGGCAAGAGAAAGAAATAAAGGTTATTCAAATAGGAAGAGAGCAAGTCAGACTGTCTCTGCAGATGATATGATCCTATATCTAGAAAACCCCATCATCTCAGCCCCAAATCTCCTTAAGCTGATAAGCAACTTCATCAAAGTCTCAGGATACAAAATCAATGTGCAGAAACTGCAAGCATTCCTATACACCAATAATAGACAAGCAGAGAGCCAAATCATGAATGAATTTCCATTCACAATTGCTGCGAAGACAATAAAATACCTAGGAATACAGCTAACAAGGGAAGTGAATGACCTCTTCAAGGAGAACTACAAACCACTGTTCAAGGAAATCAGAGAGGACACAAACAAATGGAAACACACTGCATGGTCATGAACAGGAAGAATCAATGTTGTGAAAATGGCCATATTGCCTACAGTAATTTATAGATTCAATGCAATTCCCTTTAAACTACCATTGACGTTCTTCACAGAATTAGAAAAAACTACTTTAAAATTCATATGGGACCAAAAAAGAGCCGATATAGCCAAGACAATCCTAAGGAAAAAGAACGAAGCTGGATGCTTCAGTTACCTGACCTCAGACAAGGCTGCAGTAACCAAAACAGCATGGCACTGGCACAAAAACAGACACATAGACCAATGGAACAGAATAAAGAACTCAGAACTAAGACCACACATCTTCAGCCATCTGATCTTTGACAAACTTGACTAAAACATGCAATGGGGAAAGGATTTCCTGTCTAATAAATGGTGCCAGGAAAACTGGCTAGCCACATCCAGAAAATTGAAACTGGACCCCTTTCTTACACCTTATATTAAAATCAATTCAAGATGGATTAAAGACTTAAATGTAAAACTCCAAACTATAAAAACCCTAGAAGAAAATCTCAGCAATACCATTCAGGACACAGTCACGGGCAAATATTTCATGATGAAATCACCAAAAGCAATTGTAACAAAAGCAAAAATTGACAAATGGGACCTAATTAAACTAAAGAGCTTCTGCACAGCAAAAGAAACTGTCATCAGAGTGAACAGGCAACCTACAGAATGGGAGAAAATTTTTGCAAACTCTCCATCTGACAGAGGTCTAATATCCAGAATCTACAAGGAACTTAAACAAATTTATAAGAAAAAAACCCAACAACCTTGTTGTTAAAAAGTTGGCAAAGGACATGAACAGACACTTCTCAAAAGAAGACATACATGTGGCCAACAAGCATAGGAGAAACAGCTCAACATCGCTGATCATTAGAGAAATGCAAATCAAAACCACAATGAGAAACCATCTCACGCCAGCCAGAATGGAGATTATTAAAAACTCAAGAAACAACGGATGCTGGTGAGGCTGTAGAGAAATAGAAATGCTTTTACACTGTTGGTGGGAGTGTAAATTAGTTCAACCATTGTGGAAGACAGTGTGGTGATTCCTCAAAGATCTGGAACCAGAAATACCATTTGGCTCAGCAATCTCATTACTGGGTGTATACCCAAAGGATTATAAATCATTCTATTATAAAGATACACGTATGCGTATGTTCATTGTAGCATTATTCACAATAGCAAAGACATGGAATCAACCCAAATGCCCATCAATGATAGACTGGACAAAGAAAACGTGGCACATATACCCCATGGAATACTACGCAGCCATAAAAAGGAATGCGATCATGTCTTTGCAGGGACATGGATGGAGCTGGAAGCCGTTATCCTCTGCAAACTAACACAGGAACAGAAAACCAAACACTGCGTGTTCTCACTTATAAGTGAGAGCTGAACAATGAGAACACATGGACACAGGGAGGGGAACAACACACACCGGGGCCTGTCGTGGGGTTGGGGGGCGGGAGAGCATCAGGAAAAATAAGATAATGTATGCTGGACTTAATATCTAGGTGAAGGGTTGATCTGTGCAGCAAATCACCATGGCACACGTTTACCTATGCAACAAGGCTGCACGTCCTGCACATGTATCCCAGAACTTAAAATAAAATAAAATGAAATTAAAGAAAAAAAAAGATGATCTGCTACATAATGCCTTTCACAAGAATGCGACCAGGGATGAATTTACCCCCTGTGCTCAGCGTGACTGAAGTTCTTAGGAGAGCAATAGTCTAATGTTCACCTCCACATTTTACAGACGTTGAGAACACCACGCACGGGGTCTTTGGAAGTGCTGGAATGCCCCCAGATGTCTAAGCACTCTGTCCTGTCCTGAACTCCCGCTAAGTGGAGGGCAGTTGCTGCTGGGCACCCTGAATGCAGGGCCTCCCTCCTCTTCAGGCCCAGTTGGATTGAAACAAAGTCCAAGGAGAAACGTGTAGCCCCAAAGAGAACAGGAATAGAGGTGCTGGCAGATGAGAATGGCCAATGATTTCCAAAGGTGGAAGGGGATGCAAGGGTGTGGGCGGTGGGGCAGGGTGAAGGCGCCCAGCCAGAGATGCTCAGAGATCAATGGTGGAGGCCAGGGTCATCTTGCTGAGGGATCCCAGAGTGGCACTGAGCTGGGAGGTCAAAGGGAGATAGATGTGGGGCTGAAAACGGGGTGGGGGCTGGTAATTCCAGTTGCCTGTGAACAAGTGCCTGGCAGTAGTCACCTCTGCAACCCGTGCCTGCGTCTGTATCCCGCCAAGAAGCCAGCAGGTTCCCAGGCAGCGTCAGAAGATTCTTATTCACGGCCCTGGAGTCAGCATCCTGGGTGTGGCCACAGCTTGCAGCCTGGGTCTAGGGCCCCAGGGTAAAATCTTTTTTTTTTTTAATTATACTTTAAGTTTTAGGGTACATGTGCACAACGTGCAGGTTTGTTACATATGTATACATGTGCCATGTTGGTGTGCTGCACCCATTAACTCGTCATTTACATTAGGTATATCTCCTAATGCTATCCCTCCCCCCAACCCCACAACAGGCCCCGTGTGTGATGTTCCCCTTCCTGTGTCCATGTGTTCTCATTGTTCAATTCCCACCTATGAGTGAGAACATGCAGTGTTTGGTTTTTTGTCCTTGCGATAGTTTGCTGAGAATGATGGTTTCCAGCTTCATCCATGTCCCTACAAAGGACATGCACTCATCATTTTTTCATGGCTGCACAGTATTCCATGGTGTATATGTGCCTTATTCTAGTGTGGATTGCAGTGTTTCGGGGGAAGGGAGAGATGCTAGCCTGCTGCCTGCTCCTCACCCATCTGTCCTAAATAAAGCACAGCCACGCCCCGTCTGTGGATTCCCTCCCAGCTCACCTTTCCACCCCCAGCTACCTTTCCACCCCTAGCTCACCTTTCCACCTGGAGGACCCCACGGAAAACCCACAGTATCCCATCTAAATGAGCCACTGGTTCTTAGACACAGGTGAGCAGGCTTCTCCAGACTTTCCATAGAAACCAGCGACAGAGGGGGAGGATCCACAAAGGTGACAGCTGGCTGGGCGTGGTGGCTCATGCCTGTAATCCCAGCACTTTGGGAGGCCGAGGTGGGTGGATTGAGAGTTCGGGAGTTCACGACCAGCCTGGCCAACATGGAGAAACCCCGTCTCTACTAAAAATACAAAATTAGCCGGGCATGGTGGTGCATGCCTGTAATCCCAGCTACTCGGGAGGCTGAGGCAGGAGAATCGCTTGAACCCGGGAGGCGGAGGTTGCGGTGAGCTGAGACCGCACCATTGCACTCCAGCCTGGGCACTCCAGCCTGGGCAACAAGAGTGAAACTCCGTCTCAAAAAAAAAAAAAAAAAGGTGACAGCTGACCTCAGAGAAAACAGCTAAGTGGGAAAACAAAAAATGAAGTTAAAGATCTAATTACTGTCCTCAGAATATTCAAGAAAATACGCATATAGGTAACATAAGAACAGAATACTAGTTAAGAACAGGCAGAGAGCAGGAAAGATGTTTAAAATATGATTTCTGAACTGAAAATCCCACGAAAGAGATGGACTTCAGGGTCCAGTGAGGTTTCCAGAATATGCCTCAAAAAGACAGATGGAGAATTCTCAAGGAGAGATTAAAGTCCTGGACCATGCGCTGAGGAAATGCCAGGCGAATAGGCTTCAGAGAAGAGAAGGGAGGCAGGACGCTTCCTCCACAGAGGAAACTTTCCGGAGCAGAAGGACAGGGCAGAGGCTGGTGGGGAGGTGGGGGCAAGCAAGGAGACCCAGGACAGGGGACCGAAAGGACACTTCCTCTCCTCTTCTGGGGAGAAAAACAATCAAAAGGAGAAAGAGAAACAGAAACACATTCCAGTTACCTTGACACCAGGACTGGGAAGGGCGAGGGTGAAGGTCGGGGAGCCCAGAGGAGGTGCACACCCCACGCCCAGCACCCACCCCATCCACGCCCAGCACCCACCCTTCCCCACCCCTCCCCACGCCCCAGCACCCACCCTTCCCCACCCCTCCCCCCCCACGCCCAGCACCCACCCTTCCCCACCCCTCCACCCCCACGCCCAGCACCCACCCCATCCACGCCCAGCACCCACCCTTCCCCACCCCTCCCCCCCCACGCCCAGCACCCACCCTTCCCCACCCCTCCACCCCCACACCCAGCACCCACCCCTCTACCCTCACATCCGGCATCCACCTCACCCACCCCACCCACCCCTCCACCCCCAGGCCCGGCACCCACCCTCACATCTGGCATCCACCCCACCCACCCCTCCAAACCCAGGCCCAGCACCCACCCCACCCATCCCTCCACCCCCACGCCCAGCACCCACCCTTCCCCACCCCTCCACCCCCACGCCTGGCACCCACCCTTCCCCACCCCTCCACCCCCACACCCAGCACCCACCCCACCCATCCTCCACCCCATGCCCAGCACCCAACCCACCCTCCCTCCACCACCAGGCCCCGCACCCACCACACCCACCCTCCACCCCCAGGCTTGGCACCCACCCCCCCTCCCCCACGCCCAGCACCTCCCCTTCCCTCACCCCTCCCTCCCAACCCTCTGCACCCCACCCCTCCCCACCCCTCCACCTCCACGCCCAGCACCCACTCCTCCCCACTTCTCCACCCTCATGCCCGGCCCCCACCCCTCCCCACCCTCCACCCCCACACTCAGCACCCACCCCTCCCCACCCCTTCATCCTCATGCCTGGCCCCCACCCCTCCCCACTGTCCACCCGTATGCCCAGCACCCACCCTCCCCACCCCTCCACCCTCACACCGTGCATCCCACACCTTCCCCCTCCAGGTAACACCCTACACCCCTACACCCCACCACTGGCCCTAATCTTCCATCCCCATGCCCCACACCTCCACTTTCCCCTTAGCCCCTCACCCTCATGCCCTGCACCCCATACCCCACTGCTCCCACAGCCTTCCACCCCATGCCCCACACCTCTACCCTGCCCAAAGCCCCCACCCTCACCCTCACACCCCACCCCTCCTCATAGCCCCCACCCTTACATCAAACTCCCCCTACATTCCACCCTTCCCTAACCCCCCACCCCGTGCCCCACACCTCCACACCCCACTCCTCCCCTGAGTCCCCCACTTCCACACCCCACAGTCGCACACACTACCGGTCTCCCAGCCTTCCACCCTCACACCTTGCACCTGCGCACCCTCCCCCTCCCCCAGGCCCCACCATCATGCCCCCACACCTACACCCTCTAACTCGACCTTCTAACTCCCTGAGCTCCCACACTCTGCATCCCACACCCCACACCCCACCCACCCCGTTAGCCCCCACTGTCCCATGTCTCATGACCCACACCCCACACCCTCACAGCCCCCTCCACCCCCAACGCCCCACTACAGCCCCCCACTCACCATAACTCCACACCCCACCCCTGCATCCCCCATCCCCACCCCTGCATCCCCCATCCCCCACCACTTTGCCCCATGTTCCCAACCTCCCCAATCTCCCCCATGCCCCACACCTTAACCCCCTACCCTTATACTCTACCTGCACATCCAGCACCCAACCCCAACTGCAATCCCCTACACACCTTCCACGGCCACTCCGCACCCCCACACCTCACGGGCCTCCACACTCCTCAGAGCAACTGGAGCCTTGGGCCTCAGTGGTGGAAAGAGGAGGGTGAGCCTCAGCAGCTGCAGGAAGTAGCAGCCTCCTGGGACAGCTCATCTAAGGAGGACAGGCCCCCTTAACCAGAGAAGCCCCACAGGGTCTAGACACAGACAGAGTAAGGCTTTTTTTTTTTGAGACAGAGTCTTGCTCTGTCACCCAGGCTGGAATGCAATGGCGCGATCTCGGCTCGGCTCACTGCAACTTTCACCTCCCGGGTTCAAGCGATTCTCCTGCCTCAGCCTCTTGAGAGTAAGGCACTTTTTAACAAGGGAAAGGGGCTGAGCGTGGGGCGGCGCTTGCAATCCTAGCACTTTGAAGGCCTAGGCGGGAGGTGCTTGAGCTTGGGAGTTGGAGGTGACAGTGAGCTAGGATCACACCATGGCACAGACAAACCAACAGACAAAAAACGGGAAAGGCACAAATGAAACGATGAGAGCAGCAGAGAAGTGTGGCCACAAGGGGAAGGAAAACTGAGCAAACGTATCTCCTGGAACAAAAACATCAACCTTCCAAATCAAGACACACCCACAGTGGAACACAGAATGCTTAGTGAAATTTTTAAAAGAGGATTGGTTAGAAACTATAACATGAAATATGACAAAACCAAGGGCCACTGCATCCTTCCTCTCAGTCTACATAAGTAAATAAATTCGACTCACCTCTTCAACAAAAAGACTCGTGGGATCATTCGCAAAGTGAAACCCAACTTTACGTTGTGTGCAAGAAACAAGCAGAAAACACAGCAGCCCAGACCTTCCAAGGCAGAGGTCGAGGCGTGCAGGCAGGTCCTGAGAAAATGTCAACAGGCATGGAGATGATGGAGTGATGGAGATGATGGAGATGATGGAATGAGGAGATGATGCAGTGATGGAGATGATGGAGCATGGAGTGATGGAGTGATGGAGACTATGGAGATGATGGAGATGATGGAGTGATGGAGATGATGGAGTATGGAGTGATGGAGTGATGGAGACTATGGAGATGATGGAGATGATGGTGTGATGGAATGATGGAGATGATGGAGATGATGGAATGATGGAGATGGTGATGATGGAGTATGGAGTGATGGAGATGAGGGAGATGATGGAGTGATGGAGTGATGGAGAGATGGAGATGATGGAGATGGTGGAGTGATGCAGTGATGGAGATGGTGGAGTGATGTAGTGATGGAGATGATGGAGGGATGTAGTGGTGGAGATGGTGGAGTGATGCCTCTAGGCTCTCGGCAAAATCTGCTTTTATCCTGGACCCTAAATTAAGTGTGTGGGAATAATAAAGATATTTTTAGACTCATACGGACTCAGAAAGTTTAGGCCCTGTATGATTTCTTCAGAGCAAGTTGGCTGAATTCTCACTATCGTAGTCGGAAGTCTGGCACAGACTCTATCTAAAATTAGTGAGTAGAGAGTGTTGTAATAACAGGAGGAGGTTGGAAATGCCTGACCAGAGGAAATAGTCGTCGTGGTTGCCATGCGGGCGGACGGGGAGATGGTTGAGGCCACCACTGCCGCCTCCCAGCACAAGCCCTCAGCGTTTTTAACCAAATGCACATGTTGTGCTTTCAATGTTGCTTTCAGCAGGAAGGCACATGGAGCTTTCTGAGTACTGACCCCGTCCCCCTCACACTTGCCTTTTGTTCTCTGAGCTGCCGGCCTCAGGCAGTCCGCGTCTTGTTTGAGTAAGGGAGGCTGCCCCGTTCCTGCTACAAGCGTCCCTTGCCGGCATTGCTGCTGCCCGTGTGACTTCCTGACTGGACATTTGCCACTGGCAGCAAGAAGCCCAGGCCCCTCCGATTCTGCTCCAATTAGGCCCAACCTGAGGGGCCTGACCGGAGCCCCATTTCCCCGTTGTGTCTTGACCAAAAGAATACCAGGTGGGCCATTACTTGCTTTCCAACAAACAGGTGGTGAGGAAAAAAACTTTTCCTTCACTCACTTATGTTTTTTAGTGACTGGAGTCCTGCAAATTGAACTGGCAAAAGTAGATTAACAGGAGAAAAAGCGTTACTTCATATGCATGTGGCGGCTTCACGAAATGAGACAAAAACCCCGCAGAGGCAGTCAGACCAGAGGCTTATTCACGATTTTAACAAAAGGCAATACATTTGTGAAGTGATGAGCTACAGGAAAACAGTGTTGGGTTCCTAGGGAGGTAAACTGTGAGCGGGGAATGGTGTGAGGAAACCACGGAAGCTGGGATTATTTTTGTGCGGGTCCTTGAGTGGAGCTCTCCCAGTCAGGTGAGGGTGGTGTCTCCAAGCACAGCAGGCACTGTGGCGCCGGGGAAAGAGCTGGAGCCTAGGACTGTCACACCTATCACCCGTGGGACAACAGTTATGTGTAGACTTGGGACTGGGGGACAGGTTCAAACCATGGTCTGCTACTTGCTGGTGACATCTCCTTAGGCAAAATCCTTAAATTCTCTGTAGAAAACAGCTCTAGCAATAGCATCCATTTCATGGGGTTACAGAAGAATTGAACGACTTAATAAACGCTAAGCACCTGACCGTGCCTGGTGTGCAGCTAGCTGTCACCACGTGAAGTGCTTAGCACAGCACTGGACAGGACCCTGGATGGAGGGCAGCGTGGCCGTGTTTGCTAGGGCTGCATTGACAGTCGTCAGCTGGGCGCTGCCTGCTTCAGCACAGACGATGCCGTTCCTCAAGGCGGTTTTATGCCTCTTCTTCAGAGTCAGTAGCACGTTCTCTAAAATATCCTTAAATATGGCAAATCTTTGTCTTTAAAGGTAAACTTGAATTTTATTTTTCAATACAGACCAAAGTAATTTGGAATCAAGTATTTTACAGGAAGTGAGTGATTCAGGTAGGCAGTGACACTGACCCAGAAGTCAAAGCGCCGCCTGGCTGTTGCAGCAATACCGGGCGGTGCCTAGGCTCATTCACTCGGCCCTGCTACCTACTTGGAAGAGCGCCCGGGCAACCGCCTACAGTCTCGCAGCTGTAACCTCCTCATCTGTCGAATGCAGAGGACAACACTTCATACCTCACAGGGTGATCTGTTCTGTTGGTTCACCTCGGAACTGAGGGGCTTCCTTGGACACTAACACTGGACGGTCGGGGGCAAACCGTGCAGTTGCCCCCCTAGAATTAGATGATCCGTGTGCACGTGGCACTGGTGAGTGCTCTGGAAATAGCTTTTCTTATTTCTTAAAAGTTGTTTTTAAAGATAGTTCAGAAACAATGAGTGTTTTGTTGAAATGGTGAGTTTGTGATGGTGCCCAGACTTGCCTCCATACACCGAGCCTGCATGGCCCTTCCCCTGTGACCGCTGGGCCTGGACACACGGTGCAGCTTGACCAAGGGGACAAAAGCAGCCCTGACACCAGCAGAAACTTGGGAAGTGCTTGAAAGGCATTGGACGTCCCCGCTGTTGCGGTGGGAACCTTCTGCTGCCAAGTGGGCAGGCCGAGTTGGCCTCCTGAGAATGAGGGAGTGAATGACAGAGACCTCAGGTGCCTCGGAGGCCATGTCTCTGCCAAGGCCTTGCACGTGTGAGTGAGGCCCTCTTCCACCCCAGCCCAGCCCAGGAGTCTCAGCCCCGAGAACCTTCCAGCCAACCCTCAGAATTTCGGGAAATGATGCTGCTTCCTTTACACCACTAGGCTGGTGGTGGTTTGTTATGTAACCAATTGAGAGATCTTTAAAAAGTTAATAAATAAAGCTAAAGTTCTTCAGTGCATACAATCCAGAAGGGGAATTGGTTCTGTATGTTGATGGTGGAAAGGAACACAGCACTGTGTAGAATTTGGAGCCAAGACCTAAAGAAGCAAAGCCTATAAAATTCATCTTTGGCTCCAGGCATAAAATGGTCTCTCAAAGTTTTAGGGTTTTGTTTGTGTGTTTTGCTTTTTGAATGACTACTCTTTGAAAATTCTTCTCTAAGAGAGAGAAAACTTAATATAAAAATTCCAGATTAGGTGTTGGGGACTCATTTGTTATCTTCTCTTGTGCACATACATCTCGAAGGAAGAAGTCTGCAATAAAAATACAAAGTTCAGCACAATTAATGTCAGCAGTTTTTCTCCACCGTAGGATTAATAAAGGATCCAGGTAAGTGGTTCTCAAAGTGTGGTCCCCAGGTGAGGTCCCCAGGTGTGATCCCCAGGTGAGGTCCCCAGGTGAGGTCCCCAGGTGAGGTGACCGTCCCACTTTGCCCTAGGGCTGCTCCAGCTTCAACGCTGAAAGTCCCAGGTCACAGGAACCCTCCTTTGCCCCTGGCAGACTGAGGGGCTATCACCCTATTCTGGGACCAACAGTAAAGCATCACTTGGGAAGTGGATGAAGTGTGAATTCTGGGCCCCACCATAGACCTGCTTAACAGGATCTCTGGCGGTTAGGGTTAGGGTCAGGTCTGCTGGGCAGTGATAATGCAGCTAAGGGCGGGGTCCTGGGTCCAGGTTTAATCTGGGAAGGGTCTGGGAGGGACTGGGTTTAACAGAAGCACCCAGGTGCCAAGCACTGGGGCAGAGCTGGAATCCCGTCAGACGGTGGGCAGACCTGCAGCCGACCACCACTCTCTGCCGAGGGGAGGGGTCCTGACAGTGCCGTGTCCACCAGACTCGAGAGTGGGGAGTCTGGTAGCTCCAGGGGAAGACTTTCCAGGATTCTCCTTTCACTTCAGGTGTGGCTAGTGTTTCCAGCAGGTGGCACATGCTAATTGTCCCTGTTGGAAAATTCTGAGTCAAGCCAGTGGTTGAAGTGGGTCCTGGAATACCAGGTGTGATATATTTGCAAAACACTTGTGGTCAAATTATGCCATCAGCAGTGGTGAAGGGAAACTTGTAATTGTAATAAATTAGCACTTGAGTGTAGTCCCATCATTGGAAAGAGCATGGCCTTCAGCCCCAGTAACACTGAGATTGGTAAGCAGATGTCTTTTGAGGAAAAAAAATAAAACAGTATTCTGAAATCCAACACCTGTTTATTTAATCACATTTTCACATTTACTGTGCTTTCTAGATGATTTGCCAAGGTTGTCTGGTCCTGGTAAAAAATGTATGAAATGCCTCCACCTGAACAGAGAAGAAAATGTGATCCCAATGAGAACTGTCTGCAGCATCACACTCACCGCTGTGTCTGAGAACAGGATTTTCCATTTCGGCAGTGGATCTAAACCTGATGCCCAGGACCTGTTTTAAGCAGTGAATCAAAGATCACAGAAGTTAAAGTTTGGCAAGTTTTCGACGTCAAGGAGATGGAAAGCCTAAAATCAGTTTCTGAACCACTAAATTAGAGGGAACAGCCTTGCTCGTGAATTTTCCAGAATTCCACAAACAATTAAGAAGACCCAGGGTAGGAAGCACATACAATTTGTTTTCTTTGATGGTTAAGTTGGTTTAAGGCACAGAGTTGAGAAGACAGGTAAGAAGAAGCAACTGTTCAAGCCCCAAGGAGAACCCAGAACCGACCCAGCCCCCGAGGAGAACCCAGAACCGACCCAGCCCCCGAGGAGATCCCAGAACCGACCCAGCCCCCGAGGAGAACCCACAACCGACCCAGCCCCCGTGGAGATCCCAGAACCGACCCAGCCCCCGAGGAGATCCCAGAACCGACCCAGCCCCCGAGGAGATCCCAGAACCGACTCAGCCCCCACGGAGATCCCAGAACCGACCCAGCCTCCGAGGAGAATCCAGGATCCACCCAGCCCCCACGGAGATCCCAGGATCTCCTTGTTTTTTAATCGAAAACTTGTTTTTCTCTCCTGTTTTTAATTTCTTAAGGAGAAAATTTGAGACGAAGACAATGGCCACCTAAATTTGTGTGATACCCTGTTATTTCACAGTTGCCTTACAAGAATAACCGTGTCTCATTTGTCACTTTCTGCTACCTGAGAAACCACTCTGTATGATGTTGACGTGTGACCATGTCCAGGTGCAGCTGACGTAGTCTCAGAGACGTGTCTTTGGAAAAAACAGTACACAACAAATGATTATGAGCCATTCTGAGCATGGTGGTGAGCTGCAGCCAGCAGAACACACCCAGCCCTGCCAGCAAAGGAAGCTTGGTCAACCACAGCAGCCTGTATGGGCTGCGATGGAAACCATGTTGAGTCCCCACCTCACAGTTGAGAAAAGCAACATAATTTCACATGATGCACTAGCCGTGGCGCCTGCTACACACGAGCTCTGGAAACCTCAGCTGCCCTCATCGCTTCCTGCCATTCTGGAAGAAAAGTTAAAATTGGAATTAGCAGTAACACGGGCCTCTCAGAGTTTTGAATAAATAGTGCTGTAACTCATCCTAGTAACTTAACTGGGAACCAGGCATCTCAGCTGGTGTTGCAAAGTCACGCAGGGCTGGGGATCCCCGAGCCCCCTGGGTGAGCTGGGTCTTGCCTATTAGCTCTGTAGACAAGGCAGGTTCCAAAGGGCAGTGCGAATGTGCTTCGAGTTTTACAAAATTCTGTGAGTTCAAAGCCTTTGGATATCTGAGTCTGTCTTAAGAGAGCCTCAAGCTAATATTCACACAATTGTGTGTCTCGGTATACAGTTTAAATGCTGGCATTTAGCTTAGAGAACAAAGAAAACGTGAAGTCAAAGAAGGAACAAAAGCATTATATCCTATCAAAAAATAACCAAATACTATTCAACCATTTTGAAAATTTCTGATTCTGGCATTGGGGAAAGTGGCTGCAGATGACGGTGATGCATGCCCAGCAAGTGGAGGAGGCCGGGGGCAGAATGTTGCCCAGGTGCTGGGTCGGTTCTGGGTTCTCCGTGGGGGCTGGGTCGGTTGTGGGATCTCCTCGGGGGCTGGGTCGGTTCTGGGGTCTCCTCGGGGGCTGGGTCGGTTGTGGGATCTCCTCGGGGGCTGGGTCGGTTCTGGGGTCTCCTCGGGGGCTGGGTCGGTTGTGGGATCTCCTCGGGGGCTGGGTCGGTTGTGGGATCTCCTCGGGGGCTGGGTCGGTTCTGGGATCTCCTCGGGGGCTGGGTCGGTTCTGGGGTCTCCTCGGGGGCTGGGTCGGTTGTGGGATCTCCTCGGGGGCTGGGTCGGTTCTGGGATCTCCTCGGGGGCTGGGTCGGTTCTGGGGTCTCCTCGGGGGCTGGGTCGGTTCTGGGGTCTCCTCGGGGGCTGGGTCGGTTCTGGGATCTCCTCGGGGGCTGGGTCGGTTGTGGGATCTCATTGGGGGCTGGGTCGGTTCTGGGATCTCCTCGGGGGCTGGGTCGGTTCTGGGTTCTCCTCGGGGGCTGGGTCGGTTCTGGGATCTCCTCGGGGGCTGGGTCGGTTCTGGGTTCTCCTCGGGGGCTGGGTCGGTTCTGGGTTCTCCTCGGGGGCTGGGTCGGTTCTGGATTCTCCTTGGGGGCTGGGTCGGTTCAGGATTCTCCTTGGGGCTTGAACAGTTGCTTCTTCTTGCCTGTCTTCTCAACTCTGTGCCTTAAACCAACTTAACCATCAAAGAAAACAAATTGTATGTGCTTCCTACCCTGGGTCTTCTTAATTGTTTGTGGAATTCTGGAAAATTCGCGAGCAAGGCTGTTCCCTCTAATTTAGTGGTTCAGAAACTGATTTTAGGCTTTCCATCTCCTTGACGTCGAAAACTTGCCAAACTTTAACTTCTGTGATCTTTGATTCACTGCTTAAAACAGGTCCTGGGCATCAGGTTTAGATCCACTGCCGAAATGGAAAATCCTGTTCTCAGACACAGCGGTGAGTGTGATGCTGCAGACAGTTCTCATTGGGATCCACCTTGTGATTCTCATTTGGGTCTAATAGCCTTTCTTTTTTTCAGTTCCTTGTTATTAAGTTGCTGTTTGAATGGGCGTGTGGGTAATCTCTGTGTGTGTGTGTTCGTGTGTGTGCAAGGGAGTTCACGCGGGGGGATGTCAGGCCGGCACACAGGAATGGAAAGGCTGCCCACTGGTCTCTGGAGCTGTTGAGGCTTCAGAGCGTCTCTTCCACTGCCGCCCTCCAGGGGCTCCCTCGCAGAGAGCGGAAGGCAAGGGCTGCCTGGGCTGCCATGGGCCATGGCTGAGACTGAGAAGTCTTTCCAGGATGGTAAGTAAAGCAGGTGGGCACGGGGTAGGTGGGCACAGGTGAGCTGACAGCCAGCAGCCCAGGGAGCCCCGAAGTTCAGTCCATATTCTGTCTTCAGATTTGGATTCACTCCCCGTGGTTTAGAAACAGTGCTGTTTGAGGTTAAAAACAAAACAAACAAAAAGCCTGATTTTCAATTCTCAGAATGGATGAGAAGAGTGCCCTATGGAGACTGGACTGTTTTTTCTTCTTAAGTGAATAGCTCAAGGGGAACGTCCAGGTGCCGGCCTTCGGGGGTCTCTGCGCCACTGGAGCGGGGGCTGTTGGGCCTGCGGAGATGCGCGAGTTGGAGTCTGAGGGTGGGTGTGGGTTCCCACCACCACGGGCACCACCATTTCTATCACCAGTTGGAGAAGTCCGTTTACCTGTGGAGCAGATTCTCGAGTATTGGAGGAAACACTGTGGAAGCATCGACCGTTGAATGCAGATTCGTGTTCTGTTTATTACTGCTAAGTGAGATGCAATTAGGAATGAGATATCTTCACCCCACTGAGTCTGGGAGGGTCAATGAGCAGTCACATCAGTGAGCAGGCCAGGTGGTGACGCGTGTTACGTGCGTGTTACTCAGGAAAATAAAGCAGGGCAGATGCAGGTAAGGGCCAGTTATTTGACGTTGTGTAGTCGAGGAAATCTCGCTCGCAGGTGTCCTCAGAGAGAAGCAACACACAGATCCCTGGGGACAGAGCATTGCTGCAGAGGGAATTCCTGCAGAGAGCAAGACAGAGCATTCCTACAGGGGGAATGTGCAAAGGCCCCGGGAAGGGAGAGACCCGTTCTGCTGAAGGGAAAGCAAGAAGGCAGAGGGTTGGAGCCAGGAGGCCTGGAGCTGCTGGGTGACGCCTGAGCCCCCGGGCTCCTGTGTGCACGATGGCGCTTTGTGATTTGTGCCAAGGGGGACAGGAGGACAGTCCAGGGTTTTGGCAGAGAAGTGACATGGCTCCTTGTAAATCTTCACAGGACCAGGATAACATCACAACAGGTAGTTAATTCACCACCACACATTTATAGTCTGAGGTCCTTGGACTGTATGAGCTACAACAATGACAGATAATCCAGGTGAGTGCCTCACAAACCCCTGCTGCCCCAGCTCCCACCCGTGGCATTTAGGCCAAGAAGCCCCATTGGTCCCCAGGGACTCTCCAGCCCCTGCCCTCCTTCCTCCTGCCCGGACCAGCCCATCTGTCACAGGGGGCTCTCTAGCCACCTGCCTCTCTTCCTCTCTGAAGGCTGCATGGAGCTGCTTGTCTTTGTAGCTGAACACTCAGGCCCCTGCTTGGTCATCCAGCCAGTCATGGTGGGAGTGGCAAGAGGAGAGCCTGAGATGATGAGGGGTCAGTGATGCTGTCTTCCGGTCCATGGCTCATTAGAGATACCCTGTAATTTGCAGTGTTCTTTCTCCAGGAGGAACAGAGCCCCTCTAATTATATCTGCTCTTATTGAAACCTGAAAAATGCAGGCAGAGTGATAAGAGAATGAAACTGTGGCTGCACCTTCCTGGCCTCCCTTCAAATATGTAAAGGGTCCTAAGGCGAGCCCTGGCTGGGGGGTCTTGAGCCCATGGCTTCTCCCTCGGTGCCTTTCACAGGTGGTCCAGGGCAAACGCTTGGTGCCCATTCAATTAAAATAGCGAAGGAGATGAGCTACAGCTTCTGCAAGGACGGCGTGGGGCTGTAGCCTCTAGGGCCTTAGTTAGAACCACATGAAAACACGAATGCTGGGGAGTAAAATTGCAGGAAATGAATGCAGGAACAGACATGGCTCGGATGTAGCAGAGGTGGGATCGGGAGTGATTTCGTTCCAATTCCCCGATGCTGCTTTCATAGCTGTTGGGGTTGAGTTTGAGGTGTTGTAGTTGAACCTGTGTTGTAAGGGCGGAAAGCCTCATCAGCCCAGTGACTGCACAGCCACGCGGAAGCCTCCCCAGTCAGAGGCGGCCTTGGAGGGCAGCTCGCTGTTCTCACTCAGTCCTGATTCTCGGCTCTCTCCTGACTCCCCAAGGTTTCTTCAACCAATTTGAAAGGGGCAAATAGGAAGCTCTGAAGGACAAGGCCCCACAAAGACCCCACACCCTGCAAATCCCCCAGGGGCTGTGCAGGAAGGGCACAGCGAGGCCCCCAGGAATCAGCCCAGCCTCTGTGCCTTGGGTCCTGGACCTGGGTGGGCGAGAGTCCACGTGCCCGGAGCCAGAACCTGTCCCCAGCCCTTGACAGAGCCACATCTCAGGGGACCATTCCAGGTGGGGTGACAGTTCCCAGCTGCAGCGCCTGGAAGCCCAGGCTGTGGGCAGACGGTCCTTACCTCTGGGGTGGGCATGAGTCGAGAGGCAGGACCTTGTGGGGTGACAGCTCTGGACCCTGAGTTGGAATGTGCACCACTCCCAGCTGAGTACCCACTGGTCACACGTTGGGCCCCCATGGCCTCCCTTCAGCCTCTTCACAGGAAACACGAAGGTGGCGTGGGCCAGGGAGGGGAGTTGACTTGAATAGGGCATTTCAAACTGCCAGTCACAAGCGAGGCCAAGGTTTAACAAATGACTCAGGAAAAAACGGGGTTGGGGGAGGGCATGAGACACTCCCAGGTGGGAGGAGGTACAGGCAGCGCTCCCTGCGTTCACACTCACCGTGGCTTTGTGACAGGGATGCACTCTGAGAAATACATGGCTGGGCGATTTCTCTGTGCGGGCCTCACAGTGACTTACACACGCCTGGATGGCCGGGCCCCCTGTAGGCCTGGGCTGCAAGGTACAGCCAGCGCTCCTCCGCCACAGACCTGTGTGCAGGCTCCTGTACCGAATGCCACAGGCGACTGCCACACAGTGGTGTATGTGCGTCCAAACACAACTAACCCGGGAGAGGACAGTAAGAATCTGGTGCTACAATCCTGTGGGACCACCCTGCTTGACCAAAACATTGTTATATGGTGCGTGGCTGTATTTCCTCCATATCAAAACATTGTTATATGGTGCGTGGCTGTATTTCCTCCATATCAAAACATTGTTATATGGTGCGTGGCTGTATTTCCTCCATATCAAAACATTGTCATGTGGTGCGTGACTGTATTTCCTCCATAGAACAGATGTCAGCGACCCCAGAGCATGGGTTCGTGCAATTTTATAAACTCTATAAGCCCATCGAATTGAATTTTTAGTAATGGCTCTGTTTAACAACCAGCTTGCAAAATTCCTGAACACGTAATGCTTGGTTGTCCTGAGCTGGCACCTTCGGCACATGCGCACATGCTCTCACACGTCCTCACACACACACACTCCCTCACTTACACTCACACACTGTCGTTCACACATACAAGCACACACATACGTGCACACAGCAGCTGCTCACGGCATCTACTTGAGGGGCCCGACACTCATTTAGAAGCTGAGTACACAAGGTTAGTCTAGGAAGCTAGAACAGAATGTAAAACATCAGGATGTGGCCTGTCTAGTCGGGATAAACATTGTTTATACGTTGGGACACATTTGACTCCTTTCACACCTGGTGCTGGTTGGCTTGGAGAGCAGTGGGGCGCCAGCCAGCTGCCCTGACAGCCACGCCTCCTGGAGGGTGGAGAGAGCCTGGTCTGCAGAAAGCCTGCTTGCTTCCTGAGGGGCACAGACACAGGTGGCCTGAGAGGGAGAAGGTTCTGGAACAGGGGGCCCAGAGGAAAGCCTGCAGCAGGAGCCAGGGTCACGGCGCCCAGCAGCTGCCCTCGCCCTGGCTCGTCCTGCTCCAGGCCAAGCCACCCATCTCGGAGCCGCCGTAAGGCCTCCTGCAGTCAAACCGCGAGGCAGCACCATGCCCACAAGAACTTGAGGTTTCTCCTGGCCTCAACCTTCCTCTCATGACAACAAGGCACCAATTTCCACGAAGGGCTCTGCGCTCAGGGCAGGGCTGGTAAACACGAGGTCACGCCCTTCCTGTGAGGGAGGTTCCAGTTCCCACAGCGGAGGCCTCGGGCAGGTGGGGGCTGCCGCAAGAGCAGGACAGGGCCAGGGAGCTGGTGTCCACTCCCACATAGTCCTCTTGCTTTAAACGGTTCTCTTTTGAGATAATTGCAGATTCACACACAGTCGTAAGGAATAACACGGAGAGTGCCTGTTCCCTTTGCCCAGTTCCCCCAACAGCAGCCCCTTTGCCCAGTTCCCCCAACAGCAGCATCTTGCAAAGCAAGGAGTGGTCACCGATGGGATCAAGTGCCCTGAGGGCGGATGGCACCAGCTGCACATACACTGGGTGTGAGCGTGTGTGTCAGTGTGTGTGTGAGCATGGGGGTGTGTGTGTCAGTGTATGTGTATGGGTGAGTCTGTGTGAGTCTGTCAGTGCGTCTGTGTATATGTGGGTGTGCATGTGTGTGTGTCTGTGTGCATGTGGGTGTGTGAGAGTATCAGTGTGTCTATGTGTATGTGTGCATGTGGGTGCGCATGTGTGTGTCAGTGTCTGTATGTGTGCATGTGGGTATGCTTGTGTGTGTGTGCATGTGGGTGTCCGTGTGTGTGTACCAGTGTGTCTGTGTGCATGTGTGCATGTGGGTGTATTTGTGTGAGGAGCATGAATGTGTGTGAAGGAGGAAGTGCATGAATGTGTGTGCATGTCTGTGTGTGTGCTTGTGTGTGTGAGGGACTGGGAGTGTGTGTGTGAGGGACTGTGTGACCATATGTGCATGTGCGAGTGTGTGCATGTGGGTGTGAGGGAGGGGAGGGTGTGTGAGCATGTATGAGCGTGAGTATGCTTGTGTATGTGTGCATGAGTGAGGGAGTGTGTGTGCATGTGTGTGAGTGCATGTGGGTGAGGGTGTGTGAGGAAGTGTGTGAGGATGTGTGTGAGCATGTGCACGTGTGTGCTTGCATGTGTGAGTGAGGGAGGGTGTGTGTGTGCGAATGAAGGAGGGTGTGGGCATGTGAGGACATGTGTGAGCATGTGTGCATGTGTGTCTGTGAGGGAGGGAGGGTGTGTGCATGTGAGTTTGTATGTGTATGTGTGAGGGAGTGTGTGTGCGTGTGTGAGTGCATGTGAGGGAATTTGTGTGTAAGGTTGTGTGTGAGGGAGGGAGTATGTATGTGCGCATGTGTGTGCACGTGTCATTGAGGGAGTGTGTGTGCGCGCGTATGAGTGAGTGTGTGTGTGCATGTGTGCGCTAGCGTGTGTGAGTGAGGGAGGGTGTGTGCATGTGAGGGAGTGTGTGTGTGAATGAGGGAGTGTGTGTGAGCATGTGTGCATGTGTGCTTACATGTGAGGTAGTGTGTGCGTGTGTGTGTGAGGGAGTGTGCACATGTGAGTGTGTCTAGTTTTGGGCAGTTGTGTCCCATGTGTGTGTGTGAGGGAGTGTGTGTGCATGTGTGTGTGAGGGACGAGCTGGGCAGTTGTGTCCCGTGTGTGTGTGTGTGTGAGTGTGTGTGTGAGTGTGTCTAGAGCTGGGCAGTTGTGCCCTGTATGCAGATCTCTGTGCAGATGCCGGACATTTCCATCCCACGAGCATCTCTCCTGCTCCTTTTCCAGCCACAGCCACCTCCTGCCCCTCCCTGACCCCTGACCGCTGACACCCGCTGCTCTGCTTTCCGTTGCTGTGACTTTGTCAGCTTGAGACTGTCTCCCTTCACTCAGCCCAGTTCCCCTGAGGCTCACCTGCAACACTGTGCACCCGCTCGCTTGCTGCTTTTCACGCAGTTCACTCTTTACCTGCTGAAGGACAGCTTGAAGGTTGCCTCCAGTTTTCTGCCATTACAAATAAATCTGCGGTGAACGTTTGTGTTTTTTATGCATCATGTATTTTGAAGGGCATTTTCCTCACTCTCCTAATCCACAGCCTTCCTTGTGGGTGGGAGGAGGCTGAGCCTGGGCAGACTGCGGGGGCTCCCTGGGGACAGCACCCACACTTCGGCTTCTCTTCTGTGGTCCTGGTGTGGTTTATGTACGTACAAGAGTTAGATCTGCAAATCCACCAGGGGCCCGACACAGTGTGCAGTGCTGGGAGGATGGCAGAGAGGAAAAATGCCTGCCAGTGCTCTCGGGAAAAATAACCACGAGAAAAGCTACCTCTAGCCGACTGTTTCTTATCTGCCAGACACAGGACACACAGCACACGCAGCTTGGTCCCGGCACAGGCCTGCGGGCGGGCACTGCTGCCAGCCCCATTTTACAGACGAAGAAATTGGGAGACAATCTGGGGAGATGAGTTAGCTTCACAGGAAACTATTTGAAGAAATAAAAGTAATTGACGCGGTGGTTCACAACTCCTAAGTATAATGAAAGCAGCCGCGATCGTTGTCACAGTCAAGGTGCCAGGGATTTGTGGGCTGAGGGGCATTCATCAGCACCCACGGCTTCTGCGGGCCTGGGGGCGGGGGCGTGAGCGTCTCCCTCTGCTCTCCTGCCCTGCCCTGCACAACCTGGTGAATTTCCTGTCCCACCCGCTGCCCCACCCCTCCCTGAAGCAGGGAGGTTGGCAACTGAGCTTGTGAGGCTCAAGGGTACCTAGGATGGGCCACTCGGAGGGGAGGCAGCTCTCCTCGGCCATCACAGCCAGAAAGTGGGCTTTGAGTGTTCCGTGCGGTGCTGCCACCGTGTCTACACCCACCTCCACCGTGTCTACACCCACCACCGTGTCTACACCCACCTCCACCGTGTCTACACTCACCGCCACCGTGTCTACACCCACCGCCACCGTGTCTACACCCACCACCGTGTCTACACCCACCTCCACCGTGTCTACACCCACCACCCTGTCTACACCCACCTCCACCATGTCTACACCCACCGCCGTGTCTACACCCACCGCCACTGTGTCTACACCCACCACCGTGTCTACACCCACCTCCACCGTGTCTACACCCACCATCGTGTCTACACCCACCACCGTGTCTACACCCACCGCCACCGTGTCTACACCCACCACCGTGTCTACACCCACCTCCACCGTGTCTACACCCACCTCCACCGTGTCTACACCCACCACCCTGTCTACACCCACCTCCACCATGTCTACACCCACCGCCGTGTCTACACCCACCACCGTGTCTACACCCACCTCTGCCGTGTCTACACTCACCTCCGCCGTGTCTACACCCACCACCATGTCTAAAACCACCTCCACTGTGTCTACACCCACCGCCACCGTGTCTACACCCACCACCACCGTGTCTACACCCACCACCATGTCTACACCCACCTCCACCGTGTCTACACCCACCGCCGTGTCTACACCCACCTCCACCGTGTCTACACCCACCTCCGCCATGTCTACACCCACCACCACCGTGTCTACACCCAACTCCACCTTGTCTACACCCACCACCCTGTCTACATCCACCTCCACCGTGTCTACACCCACCACCACCGTGTCTACACCCACCACCGTGTCTACACCCACCACCACCGTGTCTACACCCACCACCACCGTGTCTACACCCAACTCCACCTTGTCTACACCCACCACCCTGTCTACATCCACCTCCACCGTGTCTACACCCACCACCACCGTGTCTACACCCACCACCGTGTCTACACCCACCGCCACCGTGTCTACACCCACCGCCACCGTGTCTACACCCACCACCGTGTCTACACCCACCTCCACCGTGTCTAAACCCACCTCCATGTCTACACCCACCTCCACCGTGTCTACACCCACCGCCGTGTCTAAACCCACCTCCACCGTGTCTACACCCACCACCACTGTGTCTACACCCACCACCGTGTCTACACCCACCTCCGCCGTGTCTACACCCACCACCGCTGTGTCTACACCCACCACCGTGTCTACACCCACCTCCGCCGTGTCTACACCCACCTCCGCCGTGTCTACACCCACCACCACCGTGTCTACACCCACCACCGCCGTGTCTACACCCACCACCGTGTCTAAACCCACCACCGTGTCTACACCCACCTCCACCGCGTCTACACCCACCGCCACCGTGTCTACACCCACCGCCGTGTCTACACCCACCTCCACCGTGTCTACACCCACCACCACTGTGTCTACACCCACCACCGTGTCTAAACCCACCACCGTGTCTACACCCACCTCCACCGCGTCTACACCCACCGCCACCGTGTCTACACCCACCACCGTGTCTACACCCACCTCCACCGTGTCTACACCCACCACCGTGTCTACACCCACCACCGTGTCTAAACCCACCTCCACCGTGTCTACACCCACCGCCACCGTGTCTACACCCACCACCGTGTCTACACCCACCTCCACCGTGTCTACACCCACCACCGTGTCTACACCCACCACCGTGTCTAAACCCACCTCCACCGTGTCTACACCCACCACCACCGTGTCTACACCCACCACCGTGTCTACACCCACCTCCACCGTGTCTACACCCACCGCCGTGTCTACACCCACCACCGTGTCTACACCCACCTCCACCGTGTCTACACCCACCTCCACCATGTCTACACCCACCACCGTGTCTACACCCACTTCCACCGTGTCTACACCCACCTCCACCGTGTCTACACCCACCGCCACCGTGTCTACACCCACTGCTGTCTGCTTCATGACTCGGGGGTCTAGGCTGCTTCTTTCCTCTCTCTCTGCATTTCAAGAAGATGAGAGCGAGACCATGATGCTCCGTGGTAAGGCCCACCTGAGCCTCCGACTGTAGTTGATAAACCCAGCACAGCATTGCGTCTCCTGTCCATCAACAACACAGACCACCAGGCCTCGGCATCCACAGGAATCTTGGAGTGGACCTGTCTGCTTCTCTCAGTTGTGTGGCTCAACTAATGTTTGAGAAAGACTCTTCGGTGGCTATTTATTCATCTCTCTAGATTCTCCAAATGTGTTCTTTCGCAGCTCATCAGGTCACTAGAAAGCTACTTTCTTTGACTTCTAAGTGCCTACATAAATTTTATGCGAGAATTATGATTTAATGTTATATTTTTACTACATTCATTCAACAAACATTCATTGAGCATTTACCATGTTCTAGGCCCTGTAGTGAGTGTCATTTGAGATTAAAAACATCCTCCCCTAACTTGTCCAATATTCCTTTTGAAAAGAATTCCCTAAAAAATTTCTTGTATTGCCTTGTGGGCTAAAGTACTGTCTTTCCTGAAAGTCTGACATGCTTCCTTTTATCAGATAATGTGACTTGTGTAAGATTCATATTTCCATATTTCCCTTTTCACCTTGGCTATCCGGAAGCTCAGTGTGTAGCTTTACGTTCAGCTGTTCTCACCTTACATGTGTCAACAAATCCACTAAAAAAATTTCTTTTAAAAGGAAAGAGACAGGCCGGGCGCGGTGGCTCACGCCTGTAACCCCAGTACTTTGGGAGGCTGAGGCGGGCGGATCACCTGAAGTCAGGAGTTCGAGACCATCCTCAACATGGAGAAACCCTGTCTCTACTAAAAATACAAAATTAGCCAGGCATAGTGGTGCATGCCTGTAATCCCAGCTACTCGGGAGGCTGAGGCAGGAGAATTGCTTGAACCTGGGATGCGGAGGTTGTGGTGAGCGCCGAGATTGCGCCATTGCACTCCAGCCTGGGCAACAAGAGCGAAACTCCATCTCAAAAAAAAAAAAAAAAAGGGGAAAGAGACATTATTCCAGCAAGCAGTTTGCAAACTGGGAGATGCTGCCTTTGGAACAAAACAAAGGTGCATTCCAGAGAAGAAACATGCGATTGTCTTCCACAAGGGAATTCCTGCCCAGGATCTCATTCTGGCCTTTATGCAGATAAGGGAGGCAGACTTGCTTCATTCTGTTTGGTAGAGCCTGGTAGCAGTCTATTGGTTTGGTCCAGAGGGCAAATTGGGATTTTCTGGCCTTGGTTGATTCCAGCAGCATGAACAGACAGCTGTGAAATTTCCAGCACTTCCGGGAACGCAGAGCTGGCGTGTGACCTCTAGTGAGCAAAAGGTCGCGTGCCTCCATTTTGAATTCAGGCCCAGTGAGCCCCTTGGGATGCACCTGGCAGGATGGGCTCTTTCAGGTTCAGATACCTGATTCCACCGTTCTTCCTTCAGTTCTTACTTTGAACCCTCCAAAAATTATTCCGTTGTGTACTGGTCATTTATGTGGCTTCAAATCCTTTGAAAGTAGATTGTTCAGACATGATCTAATAATGCTGTTTTGGAAATGAATGAATGTCCACTTGTCAATGGGTTGATATGTGAACAGAAGAGTATATCCAAAGAGAGCAAAGTGTAACACCAAGGTCATTGAAAGAAGAAATTATAGAGATTTTCTATTGGGTCATCATCTGATCCTTTCTTCTCTCAGTATTTTATTTCCCAGCTCATATTATCACAGCTCTAAGAGACAACTTTCTAATTTAGAAAACGAATGACCAAATCCTTCATTTAGAACACAAATGTGAGAAGGCCGGTGCTTGGGCAGCTCTGCGGGGCTGTGTTTTGTTGCGGGAGCCCTGGATGTATGCTCAGCCCCTGTGCCTCTCAGAGGGCTGGGGGCCCCACATACAGATACCTTGCTCCGATGTGCCTGGATAAGCACTGAGGGTGGGTTTTAGGGACCGACTGGGGAGAGATGCACGTGGGGTCTGAGTCGACCGTCTGTGGGGCACTCTGGTCATGCCCAGCATCCATTTGTGCAGCACAAACTTTTTCTCTGGGACTGTCCGCCCCCCAGGTTCTTGTGGTATCGTAAAGACGACCACAGTTTCGAGATGTAGGAGTGAAATGGACCGAGGCTAACCCAGTGAAGTTTGCGGCTGGGTTAAGGAGTGAGTCAGGGAGATGCGTGTTTTCTCCATCATGACTGGGAGAGGAGTGCTCATTTGCCGGGAGGTGAGGGTGACTGTGCACCTCAGCCGCCAGCAGGAGCACCAGAGAAGCCCTGCTCCAGCCCTGCTGACGTCTGGGCCTGGGCCACCAGCCGGTGCAGTGAGCCTGGACCCCAGGAGTGCCTTTTCCAATCCTGACAGACAGCTGCTTAATGTGGGACATTGCTTTACTTTACGAGTTGAAAACGCCACCCTAGCAGCACGGAGCACCTCCCAGGGGCTAAACCCTGTATCATGACTGAATGCGCCCATGTCAATGAATTCTAACATCTAACTCTACATTCTGCCTCCCCTGAATCCAACGTTCTTTGGATCTAGTTCTGCATTTACCCCTGGCTCATGCTGGTGCATGCATTTTGGTCCTGAAGCTCCTTGGCCGACTGTCTCTTCCTCAGTTTTTAGCCTCAGCACTTCTCCAGCTTGATGATGCTGACCTGGAGGAGCTGAGCTGGAGGTGGGTGGCAGGCGTGTCGCCTTGCAGAGGTCTCTGCAGTGTCTTCAAGCACAGAAACAGCATTTGTCCTTAACAGACAGAAATGTGACACCTCTTCAGGCCCAGCAGATTTAGAGGAATCTGGGATTCAAGATTTTTGAGTGCATTCATTCAGATGGCCCCATCGCAAGCCTCTCTTCTTCCCAGTCAGGGCCTCTCTTC
The DNA here is from genome assembly GCF_000001405.40 of Homo sapiens. Classification (NCBI taxonomy): domain Eukaryota; kingdom Metazoa; phylum Chordata; class Mammalia; order Primates; family Hominidae; genus Homo; species Homo sapiens. The sequence continues at coordinate 114,135,234 of NC_000013.11, read as the reverse complement.
TTCCCAGTCAGGGTCCAGAGCTTGGAACAGCACCTTCCGAGGCCGAGCACCCGAACCTGGAACAACACCTTCTGAGGCCAAGCACCTGGCCTTCTCTGGAGCTCTGCCTTCTACACGGTTAAGTCCTGGCCCTGATCCAGTGTTTTGGTTTTCCTCTGGTCACAGGAGATGAGTGTCTTATGTGGCACTGAGGAGGCCCGTTAGCGTGCCACCCTTTTGTTTCAGGTGGTGATCTTTTCATTATCTTGCCCTCAACACGAGCCACCTGATTCCATAGTCCATGTATCTGTGACTTTCCCGAACTCTCCAGCACCCGAGATCCTGCCGCTGCCAGTGCATTTCCTTCCAAGGGGCTCCCGTCCTGGCTGCCACTGCTGCAGTCTGGAGATTCACTCCTGACCCCAGCTGTCGCCTGGAAACAAACACCAAAGCGAGATCCGCGTTGAGTTTATCAGCAGGCCTGTGAGGGTGGAGGGATGGCAGAGAAGCAGCTTTGTGGCTGGGCTGCCACAGAGGACTCCACTGGTCCTCGGAGAAACACAGGAGCCGGCTTGCTTCCAGTGGCTCCAAACGGAAGCATAGTCTCCGTCGTAAAGCAGGGGTGTGGATGGCGTCCACAGCACCCACTGCAGACGCCACCCAGGGCCAGCGCTAGACGCAGAGGCTCTGGGTTGGAACCAGGGGTGCCGCCTTAACCTCCTGTTCTGCCCCAGTGAGCACCAGGCTTGCAAGGGCTGAGGATGAGAGAGGCCCCTGTGGCTGCAGGCTCCCAGCAGTCAGGGGAAGAAAGGCCATTCATTCTTTCAACGCATGGAACTGCTTTTTAGGAAGTGAAGGTAAGCAGTGGAAAAAAATAGGCCTCTATCTTCATGAAGCTCCTGTTCCTCTCCATGCAGTGTGTGTGTGTTTGTGTATGTTCACGTAGGTGTGTGTATGTATGTTTAGTGTGTATGTCTGTGCATGTGTATGGGTAGTATATGTGTGTGCTGTCTGTGTTGTGTGTATATGAACATATGTGTTCATGTGTATATGTGGTGTGTGTATGTAGGGTGTGTGTATATGTGTGTATATGTATGTGTGTACACGTGTGTAGTATGTGTGTGGTGTCTGTGTGTGGTGTCTATGTGTATGTATATGTATATGTAGTGTATGTGTGGTATATGTATGTGTGTATATATGTGTAGGGTGTGTGTGTGGCACTGGGTGCAATGAAGTTTTGCAACATAGAGGAGGGAGTGTAGTCTCAGTTCATATACACACCTACAGTTCATACACACACACAAACATACTCCTCAGAGAGGAGGTCAGGGAGGAGGAGACCTCGAGACAGAAGAAAGGGAGGTAAGGGTGGTACCTGCCCATGCTGGGGTCTGCAGGGGGACTGGGGGGGGACCTGCCCATGCCGGGGTCTGCAGGGGGACTTGGGGGGGGACCTGCCCATGCTGGGGTCTGCAAGGGGACTTGGGGGGGGACCTGCCCATGCCGGGGTCTGCAGGGGGACTTGGGGGGGGGACCTGCTCATGCCGGGGTCTGCAGGGGGACTGGGGGGGGACCTGCTCATGCCGGGGTCTGCAGGGGGACTGGGGGGGGACCTGCCCATGCCGGGGTCTGCAGGGGAACTGGGGGGGGACCTGCCCATGCCGGGGTCTGCAGGGGGACTTGGGGGGGGGACCTGCCCATGCCGGGGTCTGCAGGGGGACTGGGGGGGGACCTGCCCATGCCGGGGTCTGCAGGGGACTGGGGGGGGACCTGCCCATGCTGGGGTCTGCAGGGGGACTTGGGGGGGGGACCTGCTCATGCTGGGGTCTGCAGGGGGACTGGGGGGGGACCTGCTCATGCTGGGGTCTGCAGGGGGACTGGGTGGGGGAGACCTGCCGGTGCCGGGGTCTGCAGGGGGACTGGGGGGGGACCTGCCCGTGCCGGGGTCTGCAGGGGGACTGGGGGGGGACCTGCCCATGCCGGGGTCTGCAGGGGGACTGGGGGGGACCTGCCCATGCCGGGGTCTGCAGGGGGACTGGGGGGGGAGACCTGCCCATGCCGGGGTCTGCAGGGGGACTGGGGGGGGGAGACCTGCCCATGCCGGGGTCTGCAGGGGGACTGGGGGGGGGGAGACCTGCCCATGCTGGGGTCTGCAGGGGGACTTGGGGGGGGGACCTGCCCATGCCGGAGGTCTGGGGTGGGGGGCTGTGTGTGCGTGTATGTGTCCCCGCCCCCCTCGTGCGTCTGCAGCAGGTGCCTTCGGATCGCATCTCAGGAGCTGGGGCTGGGCGCGGGATTCCTCCCCTGCCAGATCGTTGTACGTGAACTTCTCTTGGCAAAGTTCGTCCGCGAGTCAATCGCTCAGCCTCGCTCAGCGGGCCCGGGCCGCGCCGGCGACCTTCCTTCGTCTCTTCCGCCAGGCAGCCCGCTGGGGTCCCTTCCGCTCAGCGGCCAATCCGCGGGGCGGGGGCGGGGGCCGAGGCCTCGGGGGAAGCCGATCCCTGCGCCCCCCGGGTCTCCGCCACCCGCCAGCGCCGTCCCTGCCAACCCCGCCCCTGCAGGGCCCGGGCCAGTTGGGAGCAGGGGCCGGGCCGCGGGCGGAGCCTCCCGGTCCCCGCCCTCGCCCTCGGCCAACTGGCGGTCTTGCAGGCGGGCGGACCCTCGGCCGCGCTCGGGGCTCCGGCGCCGCCGCTCCTCCTGCTCGGCCTGAGCTGCCCGGGCTCGGCGCGCGCTTGGGGCGAGGCTCGGCGGGCGCGGACGCGCAGCATGGCGGTGGAGGACGAGGGGCTCCGGGTCTTCCAGAGCGTGAAGATCAAGATCGGTGAGTGTCCGCCGGCAGCCACGCGTCCGACCCCCCGGCCCGACCCTGTCCTCTCCCGCGCCCGCCTCCCCTCCGCAGATCCTTGCTGGGGACCCCGGCGGAGACGCCCTCCAGGCGCGGCGCGCTCCCCGGAGAACGGCTGGTCCGGCTCCGCGGCCCCTCCCCACCTCCCCGCCTCCCCGGGCCTCGGGCTGGGTCGAGTCGGCTCCGGGGTAACGCGGCTCCCTGCGCCTCCTCTGCGCCCGGAGCGGCCCCGGTCCCTGGTAGCGGCGGAGGAGGTGGGGTCCCTGCGCCGAGGGACGTCTGTCCGCGTGTGCGCCCGAGCGTGTGCCCCGCGTGTTTGCAGGAGTGCGCGCGCCTGAGGCTGTCTGGGCGCCTGCACTTCAGGTGTCAAATCCACTGACGTCGGGGTCTCGGCATCTCCCTTTCTCCGCTGCGCCCAGAAACTTCCTTTCCGGGGAATGTGGAGGCTCCTTCACGCTTCTCCCCAGGGGCGTGAGGCCCCGGCGCGCTGCTGCTGCTGTGCGCGCGCGTCTGTGCCTGCGTGCGCGCGTGTTTGTGTGTGCTTGTGTTTGTGTGTCCATGTGTGGGCGGTGTGTGTGCGCGTGCGTTTGTGGGTGCATGTGTGGGTGCGTATTTGTGTGTGGATGCATGTGTGCGCGCGTGTGTATTTGTGTGTGGGCGCGTGTGTGTGCGCGCGTTTGTGTGTGTGCATGTGTGCGTGTGTGCTGGTGGGGCGTTCTGGCTGAGGGCTCCCGCGGGGCGGGGAGACCCCGGACCCATCGGCACCACGTCCCTTTCCACTGAGAAGTGGCGGGCGAGCTGGTGGCGACCAGGGCCTGCGAGGCTGCGGTTTTTCTCTGGGCTTCAGCAGCTTCTGAAGTGGGCTCCCGGAGGCGTTTCCGGAGAGGAGGCTGTGTCTGGACTTCTGGTTTATCTGGAGGGATCTGCTTTTCCCTGGTTGTTTTATCTTGGGAGAGTGATGTGGAAGTCCTCCCCCTCCCCCAGAGCAAGACCGTTTCCTGGAGTGACTGTTCCATATTCATGCCATGAGTGTGCTGGACCACAGCGCGGTTCAGGCTGGAGAGGCTTCCAGGGCCTGCAGTGTCGCGGTCCCCACGGTCCTTCTCCCCCACTGAGCCGCACTTCGCAGCCGGCCTCTTCCCGTGTGAAGAGGCCTCCGGGAACGGGCTGAGTGTCAGTTGTTGATGACATTTGATGCTGCCGGAGGCATTCCAGCTCCCCTAAACCAGCGGGCTGTTTCCTGTCGGCTTTATTTTGGTTTGCGGATCATCGCTGAGACACTGTCTTGATATTTGGCCCAGAAGCGCTGCAGCTAGGATGTGGCAGCACTTCCGCTTTGAGTAGTCCAGAGAGGAGGGATTTCTTTTGTTAATGTGGTTTAAATCCGCTGTCACTTTCATACAAGAAAGCCAGAGCTGGCGCTCCCTGAAGTGCCTGAGGTCGCCTTGCCTGGGTGGGGAAAGGTCGCGGCCCGTGGGGGTCAGTTTGCTGCTCTTTCCTTCAGCCAAGGCTGCTTGGCTCAGCCAGCGAGTCTGAGGAGTGTGAGAAGCACTGGGCTTCCTCAGTCACGGGGGCAGGAGGGCTGGAGGTGGGTGCCCCTGTGGGGCAGTGCCAGGTCTCCAGGCAGCAGGCAGAGGCGGCCTGGGGCTTTGCGGCTCGGGGGTGGGGGGCCCACAGCCGGCACAGCATGCTCGCTGTGTACTCCAGGAAGGGCTACACTTCAGGCCACGGCAGGACTTTACAGAAGGCATGGGAAGTAGAACAGGAGGGCGAGGGAAGACCAGAGTCTCAGACCAGATACTCAGACCCTGAGTCTCCCAGAAGGCAGCTTCACCGGCCTGCGGGCACTCGGCCCCACTTCCGACAGGCGTGGGGGTCAGGCACCCTGGAGGATCCCTCGGAGAGAAGGAGGTTTGGAGATGCCACAACTTGGTCAGGCTCTGTGCTCCACTTTAAACAAGCCAGTGAAACCCTGGCTCAGCTGAGGCTTAGGCTGCTAATCCCACGTGGGGCCTGGATATCATCTGAACCTTTGACCCTCCCAGGGGCAGCAGCAGTGAGGACGGGTAGAGAGGCCCAAATGCCAGCTGCCCGACTCTCTGGATGTGGCTCCAGCAAGAAGTCCCCGTTTCCTCTCCCCTCCAGAGGTCACCTGCAGGGCTGGCTGCCTGAGGGGTATCTGTGCCCCAAGTAGCTGGGGAGACAGGGCACCTCCTGCATTTGAGCAGAGATGCAGTCTGGGCTGGAGACCCTGAGGGTGACCTGTGGGTGCGCTGGTTTGGGGTTAGTCTCATGTAACTGTGCTGCTGGCCTGATACCCCGGGGCTCCAGCAGAAAGCCCATCTGTAGAAGCGAAGTGGAGGATGACCCTGAGCGGCGCTGGTGCCAGGGGGCCACTGAGCCCCTCAGGCTCTTTCTTTAATCCACATTCATGGCCAACCTTGGCTCTGACTTGCCCTGCCTGAGTCCCTGGTCTTGAAGGCTCAGACAAGATGGTGCCCCTGTGGTTGATTTGAGGGCCCCTCGCTGTCATTCACCTCTGAGCCTTGTCTCCAGGAGCGCTGGATTTGCCCATGAGTCTGCCAGTGACTTGCTGCATGACCCAGGGCCCGTGTCTTCCCCTTCATAACCTCATTTTTCCGTTTGCAAAAGCCAGGCAATTATTGTCTACTACATCCGGTGGGAACGTACAAGGCAGTGTTGTTCAGGGTTAAGTTAACACCCTGCCCCCTCACTCCCAGAACAAGAATTGTCCCTAAAGTTATACCATAAGCAATTCTGCTACTACTCTTACTAAGAAAAAAAGCCAGCACATTTCTGGGGGGATTGGGAGCTTTTTTTAAGGTATAGGGGCATTGGCCATTTAAATTCTTAAATAGCTTTGAAATGTGTGGTGGTGTGTGGCCTCATTCAGACGTTGACATTGGGAAAAATGGAAAGAATCTCTTCCTCCTTTCCCCCTTCCTCTTTCTTTGTCCTTCCAGCTCTTGCAGGTGAGGTAATAAGAGGAGAGCGCCACGTAGAAGTGAGGTGCTTTGGTGGTAACAATTTGGAGTCTTTGTCTTGAAGAATCTGGCTTTCTGCATTTCAGTTTTGTGGAATCATTTTGGATATGTCCTTCTGTGCACTTAAACATCTTAAACACTGTGTCTTTTGAAACAGTCATTAACCTTTCACAGTAGAGTCTGTGTATCATGCATGACTGAGCCACACTTCCTATGCGATCGCTGCTTTGAGGAAGCCTGTGCTTCGGACTTTCCATGAGTCAGGGACCCACAGGGAGGGCACTTCCGCCACGGCCACGGCGTTGTTTTGGGGCCCCCGCCCCCAAGGCGTGCAGTGCCTCCTCCCCTCGCAGTGATGTCTTCCGTTTCCACAATACTTACTGCTTGTTTTTAAATGTGGCGCCTTATCTTGATACATGTGTTCAATAAAGAGCAACACACAAGGTGTTTCTCTCAATCTGTTACAGAAAAAAAAAAAGCCAGCCCCGCGGTCCAGGGCGGGAAAGGCTCTCGCACCGCGGTGACCCTGCCGTCGAGCTGGAGGCGGTCAGCGTCCGGGAATGCCGTCCGTGGGAGGCCGGGCCTGCCGTGGGCTCCCCGCTGGGGCTTCCTGTGGCTCTCTGGTCGCTCCCTTCTTTCTCCTCTGGGCTCAGTGCCTGTGGCTCCGCTGGGCTCTTGCTCCCTTCCTGTGAGGCTGGAGCTTGTCCGTGAAGAAGACCCACGGCCGGTCTGGCCCAACATTGAACCGCTGGTGCCTGCAGGCCTGTGGGGCAGTGAGGGCCAGGGGCTGCCGGCCTCCAGCCCCAGCTATCCCTCTCCTGATCACAAACAGAATCCCACCTGAAGCAGGAGGAGGTGGCACCGGGTGAGAATAGGGAGAATGACAAGTGGGGTGCCTGGAGGGTCCCCTGGACTGTGCCTCCCTGGCCCCAGCTCCTGGGCTAGAAGGTAAGGGCTCCGGGCCCAGCTCTGCTAGAAGTGGCAGCTGACACTCTCAGCCTGATGGACTCCCTCACGGGAGGTGGAGGCCGCTGGTCACAGGGCTGTTACAGGCATCAAATTAGGTGATGGTCTGTTTAATAAGAGAAAGTAGCAACAGTGTCTTCAGAGGGCTAGGGCTCACTCAGGTAAGAGAAGTGTTTTGTGAAGGTGAGGGAGGGATACTGGCCACGCCGTGGCTTTCCCCGTGTCTGTCTGACAGTGTAAGGAGGGGCTGTGTGGCCACACATGGGCCTTGGCATCAGAGATCCTAGATTCCCCTAATGCTAAAATTAACTTGGATATTTTATTAACCGAGCTCAGCTAAGCTGCCTGTGCTATTTTTAACCCCTGAGGACGAAGGTGCAGGGCCTGGCTGCACCTGGGAAACAGCAGGGGCTCCGGCAGGGGCAGGTTCAGCCTGGGGCCCGGGCCTTGCCTGGAAAGGGGAGTGGGTTTCTTGTGCGTGTGTGGGTGTGGAGGCTGGATGCAGATGCTAAGGGCGTCGTTTCCATGTATTATCTCATTTTATCTAAACTCTGGAAACTCCACGGCACTGAGGTGGAGAAAGGGAGACCCACGGATTTATCTGGGCCCAAGCACCCCAGCTCCACGGGCTCCTGGGATCCGAGTTCTTCTCCTCACCACTTAGTATTGTCCATTAATTTTTTTTTCTTTGAGACTGGGCCTCACTGTGTTGCCCAGGCTGGTCTCCAACTCTCCAACTCCAGGACTCAAGGGATCTTCCTGCTTCAACTTCCTGAGTAGCTGGGACACAGGTGCTCACCACTGCAGCCTGCCTGTCAGTTTGGAGAGCTGTTTCTTCTCTGTGATCTTGGATTGGAATGGGGGGAATCATGGAGGGCTGGAGAACAGAGAGACTTGTTGGTGACCTTAGGGACACGAGGCAGGCAGTGTTCAGGCAGGGAAGGAAGGAAGGGGCTGCTGGTCTGTGTGGGTGGACAGTGGCCTGGGAGGCCCAAGACACAGGGTGTGCTGGGAAGACAGTTTGGAGATGCAGAGGTGATCCTTTAAGCAGGGCCACAGCCACCCATCCAGCCTTCAGGTGTGTGAGCAAATGGTGCCTGGCAGGTGGACTCAGCCAGGGTGCTGGACTGGTGGGCAGAGTGTGGACCCCGGAGGCAGCCCTGGGGGCGTCATTCCTGGAAGGGAATCTGGCATTGGTGGAAAACACTTTGACTTGCTTCTTTGGAGCTAATGGAAGCAAATGAGGCATTTGGAGCTAAGGAGCGTGTGAACCGCGCAGGCGCAGAGTGGATGAGCGGCGTCTCCCTGAGGCTGTGGCACCGTGTTTGCAGGTGGCGCGTCATGTTTTAAACATAGACGTGTGTGTGTTTAGAAAGGAGGTGGACGTATTGGCTGGAAACAGCCACAAGCAAAGTGATGGCTGCTAAGGTTTTGAAAGTGAAGGCTGCTGAGCGATGGTGGGAGGGGCTTGGTGAGGAGGAGAGCTCCTGGGGGCCCTCGGGGGAGACGTGGACGTAGCGAACCCACTTGGAATCAGACACCCGAGACTGCGTGCTGGCCACGTTTCTTGACAATTCTTTGATTTTAGATGACCCCTAACCTCTCTCTGCCTTGGTTTCTTGGTTTGTGAAAGTGGAGGCCAAGGCCTTCTTTTGCAGAGATTAATGGGACTTAGATGCACCAGGCACTTCCCCCGCTCAGATCTTCATAGATGGGAGGTATTATTCTAGCAGAATTTGAAGCTATCTGTTCGTCTGTAATGAACTGGACTTCTATGTAAGCAAATATATAATTTGAAAAAGAGCTACACTTTAATAAGTAGGAGGGTGTTGAGATCCGGGAGAGCTCACACTCTGGAGAGGTGGCTTTTGTTTTTGGTTTTGGCTGTCATCTGGGTGTCTGGGAGGGATGGCTTTCAACTTGCTCCTGAAGAGAGAGGTGGCTTTGGTTTTGGCTGTCATCTTGGAGGGGGTCTGGGAGGGGTAGCTTTGAACTTGCCCCTGAAGAGAGAGTGAGGTCTCAGGAAGGGAAGGAATCATTTGGGTTGGGCTGGTGTTATGAGATGCACGGCCTGGCCTTTGAGGGGCCCAGATAAGTTAGCTGGAGGGGCCAGTGGGACGTGTGGATGGGCCTCTGGCCGATGGGTTGACAGAAGGGGCCACACGGGGTCCCGTGGGGATGTGGTGTCATGCCCCGCAGGTGCCGGTACCTCTGGAGGGTGCGAGGTTGGACAGCAGGTGCCGGTACCTCTGGAGGGTGCGAGGTTGGACAGCAGGTGCCGGTACCTCTGGAGGGTGCGAGGTTGGACAGCAGGTGCCGGTACCTCTGGAGGGTGCGAGGTTGGACAGCAGGTGCCGGTACCTCTGGAGGGTGCGAGGTTGGGCAGCAGGTGCCGGTACCTCTGGAGGGTGCGAGGTTGGGCAGCAGGTGCCGGTACCTCTGGAGGGTGCGAGGTTGGGCAGCAGGTGCCGGTACCTCTGGAGGGTGCGAGGTTGGGCAGCAGGTGCCGGTACCTCTGGAGGGTGCGAGGTTGGGCAGCAGGTGCCGGTACCTCTGGAGGGTGCGAGGTTGGACAGCCGTTGTGGAACTGTGGTGGGGGTCGGGGAGGCAGCTCACTGAGCGCGTCTCGTCTTACGCAGCCGCGGGTCAGAGCAGGGGTCTGTGTTCACGCAGGAAAGGAGGGGCTTGCCGTGCAACCAGAGCTTCTAGCTTTGAACCATAGGTGAAGGCGATGAACAGACGTGTCTACTGCAGCAGCACCTGTGGCCAGTGGCTGAGTGAGCAAATAGCAAACAGTAGAAGCAATGTTGAGGAGTTGGGGTCTCCCCACCAATCTCCTGTCGAACTGTCACCCCGTCGTTGGAAGTGGGGCCTGGTGGGAAGCGACTGGATCTTGAGGGTGGATTTATATGAACAGCTCAGCGCTATCCCCTTGGTGCTGTTCTCACGATAGTGAGTGAGTTCTCGTGAGATCCGGTGGCACACCTCCCACCTCGCGCTCTTGCCCCCGCTCTCGCCGTGTGAGACACCTGCTCCCCCTTCACCTTCTGCCATGACTGGAAGCTTCCCGAGGCCTCCCCAGAAGCAGATGCCTCCATACTTCCTGTACGGCTTGCAGCACCGTGACCAATAAACCTCGTTTATTTTGAATTACCCAGTCTCAGGTGTTTCTTTATAGCAATGCAAGAACAGCCCAATGAGTAATCGCCAACTGAAACGGTGATTATGTCATGTGCATCCACATGTGGGCTGCTCTGTGGCTTTCAAGGAACATATTAAGCCCAGGCCAAACCACATGACTCGCAGGAAGTTCCACGGCATAAGATTCAAAAGAAGCAAAATGAGAGCGCCCAACACCACCCCCTAGAAGAATGATAAACACAGATCAGATGAGTGTGCGCAGATCAGGGATAAGACCCACACAGCCTGCTAATTGGATTACCTGTGGGATGGCAGGAGTGCTGTGGTAGGAAGAGAGACAGGAATACAAGGCCTTCCGTAGCAGCAAGTATATGTCTATTATGCATCAATGTGCAACTATGTATACGGTGGGTGAGTGAGTGAAGAACAAAGGCGGAGCTTAGAAATCATCCCTTCACAGATTGCAAGAACAGTGTCGGCTGTGGAGGACGCCAAGGCCGAGAAAGAAAATAACTTGCCTTCATTCAAGACAATGTGCTGTGTGGGAAATGCATGTGGACAGGTGAAGGAGCGGCTCCGTCAGGCCGCAGCGGGCGTCCAGCAGTGACAGGCGGAGTGAGTTGTGGCTGGCCCCTGAGAGGCCCCTGACAGGTTTTGGGGCTCCAGCCTTTGTGTCTGGGAGGCTCTGGCACAGGTGAAGGGGAACTGAGGGTTACGTCACCTGTGACAGATGGTTCAGGGTCTCTCTGGGTGTGACGCAGAGTCCAAAGTGAACAGTTACAAACGTTCAAGCTTTGCTGTAGATATGAGTTTCAGAGTCACCGAGGTGCCCGGGAACGCCCTCGTCGGGCCTGGATCCCCGGAAGTGAGTTTCCCCATGGGTTATTGGTCAAACGGCATCAGAGTGTCTGGGAGATTTTGTTTTTCTGTGAGTATTTTCTCAAAAATAGTAGTTCCTTGTTCTATGAGTGTCTGAAAATATTAGGTGTGTTTCTGCAGACAGGGCTGGATTCCTGGGGCTGTAGCTCTAGCCACCCTGAAATTTGGCATTCTTAGTTTTCGTTTTCAAATAAGCTTGAATCCCACATTTGGAACAATCACCCAAATTTAAGTCTCAGTTTTGTTCCTTCTGGGGACAGTCAGTGCCCTGCTGGTATCACAACACAGCCAGTAACGGCTGCAGCGCTGACCTGCGTGTCCTGGGTCCCGAGAGACACCGTGCCGGGCTTCTGGGGGCTGGGCCGGGGGGCTGGGTCAGGAGACAGGAGCCGCACTGGGGACCGAAACCGGTGCCTTGACCTGGAATTGATCGAGGAACGACTCCTGCACCTGTTCTTTCCTCTTTACATTGTTTCTTTTATGTTATCCGAATAATTTCCAACCTGTAAAGAATCATCTGTCTTGGCCCTGACTGCCCATAGGATAAAATTCCAGAGGTTGGTAAGAGGTCTGAGTCTTTCCTAGACACCGTGGGGATCCTTTTTCTGACCACCGACCAGACAGATGTCCACTTAGGACCTGCATGGGGGCCGTGGCTCCCAGCCCCGCATGGCCCACCCCGTGGGTGCCTCCCTCGCCCCAGGATGGGCCAGAGTCCTCAGCCCCTTGCTGAGAGCCACCCTCCCTGCCTGGTGCGCATGGCGTGCCCAGGGTAGGACGGAGGATTCTCTGGGATGCCTGACAAAGCCTAAGGGTGATTGTTGTTGTGTCTTCCTGGAGCTTGGTTTTTGGACGTCATCGTCTCCAAGCTGCAGCCCGGGTCTGAACTGGGCGCGATAGACCCAGGCTGGCTGTTCGTGTGGCGTTGGAGCCAGTTCCCATTTCTGCGTTAGGTTTCATTCCTGGCCTTTTCCCTGCTTTGAGGGGCTGCACAGAGTACCTGAGGGCCCTTGCGTGCACCCCTAAATCTTCTCTTTAGCTGTGTTCCTTCTGAAGGAAAAGGTTTCACTCTTCTTTTCAGCTCTGGAGATTTCTTGTTTTGGTTCCAAACCCTCGAGGTGCTGGAGCAGCTAGTTTGCCTTGATCTTGTCACTTCTGTGTTTTCTCTTCCCCAGAGCAGCCATTGCTCTGGGAGCCTGAGGACCAGCCTCAGCCCATGGCCCCTGCTGGGGCGGCCACCTCGGCGTCCGGTGGTGACTGTGCAGGACACATGTTTCCGGCCCCCCTCCTCTGAGGCTCCAGGAGCAAAGTGCTGTCCCCAAAGCCATGCCGGCAGCAGGAGCGTCTCCATGCCGGGCACGCACCGAAGGTGTGTCCAGGGTGTAGGGACCCAGGAAGGTTGTCTTGTGGTGGACTCTGATGACCACAGCCCAGGCGCTTTTGTGGCTCGTGGAATCGCTTCCTCAGAAAGGAGGCTGGGTGCTGCCGCGGCCTTTTCCTTCCTAGAGCCCTTTCTCATGCAGCGTTGGCTGGGCCTGCTCAGCACTGTGGCAGCTGTCATGGCAGCCAGTGGTCCTTGCTTTGGGCAGCAGTGAGATGCACAGGCCTGGAGTCAGGGCTGGGGCCGACCTGCCGGAGACCCCCTTCCTAGCTGCGTCCCTCACTCGGGGCCGACCGGCCGGAGACCCCCTTCCTAGCTGCGTCCCCCTGTGTGGAGGCCCCACTGGTTCTCCTGAATGCTGTGCCCTCTGCTTCCATGTCAGAACATTTCCCTCCAATGGGCAGGGGCGAACCCACCTGCACCCCCGGGCCCAGGTGCTCCCAGATGCAGAGCAAGCCCACCCAGCGGGGGAAGGCACGGCTCGGGGGCAGGAAGGAGGTGGTGGAGCTGGGGGTGGTTCGGCCCCAAGCACCCTGAGCCTCTGGTTGCCTACTTCATTCTGGCCCAGGCTGCATGGGGGTTTCCAAGGCTGGGGTCAGACTGATGGACAGGGCCATTAGCAGAGATTCAGGAAGAGGAACCGGTTCTGGGAAAACCATCTGCATGCAGAGCCCAGGGGACTGGCCATGCCGGACTCTCCTCCGAGGTCCGGGTGGGATGCTCCAACAGGGCTGGTTTTCCCATGGGCTTTGGGATGAGGGCTTTTCTGGGGAATTCCAGATCCCCCCCAGTCTGTAGGTGCCAAGCTCAGCCTTCTCAGGAAGCCTTGCTGGCCGGGGGTGGGGCTGACCGCGGAGGGGCCCTGAAGGCTGGAGCAGCCTGGGGAAGCTCTGCCGCCGTGGCCGGCTGCGCAGCCTGGAAGGGACGCCTGGCCTCCCAGATCCTCTCCCTCCCCGACAACTAATGTCCAAGACTGACTGCTGAGATTCTGGGATTTGCGGTGGGCCCCACGGACTGGAATCTTCATTAGTTTAGGGGCGGTGGCTGGAGGTAGGAGCCTCTGGGCCCTGTGTGCCCCTCAGCCAGTCACCTGCAGTGACAGTGGGAGCAGGCTCCTGCACTCGGCCCACAAACCTGCTAGCCCGGCTGCATGGTGCGAGGCAGGAGAGAGATTCCGAGAAGCTCCTTCCTGAGCGTGTGGCGGGGGGCCTGTGTATGCTCACAGCTGTAAACAACTAGTATCTCATTCACTGTACAGGGCTAGCGCAATGGGCCATAAACTCACACGGCCATGGTGCCGCACTCAGGGACTGGTCTGGCCGCCCGCGTCCTCAGGGCTACAGAGGAGTGAAGCGTTCAAAGTCTTTCTCTGGGGAAGCCGAAGGTCAAAGGTCGAGCTGTGCCTGAGAGACAGAGGTTCAGGCTGAGGGAGGAGTCCGCATCCTTATGTTCCTCGGAGGTCTCCTCTTGTGACATGCTTGCACACATGCACATGTATGCACACCCATGACCCTGGGACCGTTTGGGGCAGGGTTGCACGGCTTGATGTGCAGTGTTGGGTGGAGGTAAGGGAGGCTCCGGTGGGCTTCTGTTGGCTTTTCCTTTAGCCGAGATCCGTGGCAGAAGACACGGGCCAATCTGTGCTGAGTAGGCTGCATGCAGTTTAAAACTTCTCAAGCAGTTCTTAATCATTTTTATTCTACCCCACATGGCTGAGGCTGGGGACACTCTCCAGACAGCCCCGTGGCTCTCAGGGGCCTGGTCCCAGGAGGCTCGGCGGGATGTGTTTGGGGCACGGGGGTCCGAATGCCCCGCGGGTGGCCTCCTGCCCCCGGCCGCAGTGCTGGGATGCACCTGCCTTTCTACTTTCCACAACTTGGGATCTTTTCTGGCAACTGCTGTGCAATTTTCTAGTATTTTGTATTTGTATAAGAAACATCTTGTTTTTAGGCCCACAACTTGTTCTTTTTCCTAATAGCTTTTCCCCCTACTTGTCACTGACCTGTTCTCTTAGGTGGCTGCATGTTACAGGGGAGTCCCCAGTCTTTGGACTGTTCCAGAGCCCAAGACTAGCTCGGCTGTGCCACTCGGGGAAGCACACTGGAATTCAAATGAGACAGATGTTACTCTGGGAATCATCTTGATCCTCTTAGATCTGTGTGAGAAGAAAACGGTGGACAAACATTGGTGCTTGAGCCGTAATTAGTAAGAAATTGCTGGTGTTCCTCCTCACCCGTGCCTGGTGACAGGAAGTCAGGAGAAGAGAGTGTTTGATCACTTCTAGATCAGTAGGTTCTGACCATGAAAAGTCCCTTTCCGTGTTATCTGTGGGGCAGGGTCACACGGAGTTTCTCTGTGGGGATTGTTCTCCACCAGGGCTTGTTGGTCCAGACCCCTTGAACGGCATTGATGCCTGGCTGGAGAGAGGGAGGGGCCCTGACCGACGTCTGGCTGGAGAGAGGAGGGAGGGCCCTGATCGACGCCTGGCTGGAGAGAGGGAGGGGCCCTGACCGACGTCTGGCTGGAGAGAGGAGGGGGGGCCCTGATCGACGCCTGGCTGGAGAGAGGGAGGGGCCCTGATCGACGCCTGGCTGGAGAGAGGAGGGAGGGCCCTGATCGACGCCTGGCTGGAGAGGGGAGGGGGGCCCTGATCGACGCCTGGCTGGAGAGGGGAGGGGGGCCCTGATCGACGCCTGGCTGGCTGGAGAGAGGAGGGAGGGCCCTGATCGACGCCTGGCTGGAGAGAGGGAGGGGCCCTGACCGACGTCTGGCTGGAGAGAGGAGGGGGGGCCCTGATCGACGCCTGGCTGGAGAGAGGGAGGGGCCCTGATCGACGCCTGGCTGGAGAGAGGAGGGAGGGCCCTGATCGACGCCTGGCTGGAGAGGGGAGGGGGGCCCTGATCGACGCCTGGCTGGAGAGGGGAGGGGGGCCCTGATCGACGCCTGGCTGGAGAGAGGGAGGGGCCCTGATCGACGCCTGGCTGGAGAGAGGGAGGGGCCCTGACCGACGTCTGGCTGGAGAGAGGAGGGGGGGCCCTGATCGACGCCTGGCTGGAGAGAGGGAGGGGCCCTGATGGACGCCTGGCTGGAGAGAGGAGGGAGGGCCCTGATCGACGCCTGGCTGGAGAGGGGAGGGGGGCCCTGATCGACGCCTGGCTGGAGAGAGGGAGGGGCCCTGATCGACGCCTGGCTGGAGAGAAGGGGGGGACTTGATCGACGCCTGGCTGGAGAGAGGGAGGGGCCCTGATCGACGCCTGGCTGGAGAGGGGAGGGGGGCGCTGATCGACGCCTGGCTGGAGAGAGGGAGGGGGGGCCCTGATCGACGCCTGGCTGGAGAGAGGGAGGGGGGGCCCTGATCGACGCCTGGCTGGAGAGAAGGGGGGGACTTGATCGACGCCTGGCTGGAGAGAGGGAGGGGCCCTGATCGACGCCTGGCTGGAGAGAAGGTGAGGACTTGATCGACACCTGGCTGGAGAGAGGGAGGGGCCCTGATCGACGCCTGGCTGGAGAGGGGAGGGGGGCACTGATCGACGCCTGGCTGGAGAGGGGAGGGGGGCCCTGCTGGTTCTCTCGCTGCTGCTGGGGGATCCTGAGCGATCGGCCCCTCAGAGGCGTGAGCAGTTGTCTCCGGGACCTCCGTACCGCTTCCTGAATTCCCCAGCTGGTCCCATCCGTCTGGAATCAGTGGCATTCCTTTCTCTCTCCATCATTTCCTGCTCCATTTAGCGCTCCTCCAGTATTTAGAGAAAGAGTTTCTCAGCATTTGGACCCAAGAATGTGTTTATGGAAATGCTGAGTGAAAATGAAAGACTGGAAAGGAAAAAACACTTCTCACTACATTTTTGCTAAGTGCCTTTTTTTAAGTTTATTTTGCTTTATAAAGTGTATTTCTGTGTTTTCTTTAGGGAAGCCCTTTCTGCCCTCCATGTGCCCTTCCCAGGCCGGGGAAAAGAGCTGGGGTGGGTGGGTCAGGAGGAAAGCGGGGGGTGGAGAGGGAGGGGCAGGCAGCCAATTTCATCTCCAAATAAAAGCACTTTGATTTCTTCCCACCAGATCACGATTCATTGTCATGGGTGACCATTTAGTTCTGTGCTCCCCTGGTTTCCTTCTGGGGGACCCCACGGTGGCACCCACACCCCTGTCGCTGCCCACACCCAAGGCTTCCCTCTGGGTAGCTGCACTGGAACCAGCGGGTTTTATGAACACAAGAATGCTGGTGTTTTTCAGGCAGGATACAGCTGCTGACTTTCAGCAGAGAAGGCCAGGCAGTGGGCTAGCCTGGTCTGGTTAATAATTCATCATAGATTTGTGGATGGTCACACGGAGTGTGCGGAGCTCAAAAGCTGCCACTTGCTTAGACGCTAGTCCAGATTTTAGTGTAATGCCTGTGGCTTAAAAGTGGCGGTGACATCGGTTTTCAAATAAAATATTTCAGAAATATTTGGGACATTTCTATGCATCTAATCAGAAAGTTGTGAGGCTTGTAAAAATGTGCCATGCATTCTTAACTGGTGTGTTTATTAGGATTTGGGGCTAGAGTTGGGATGTGATAGAGTCAGTGTGAGATGGATGACTTTTTGAGGTCACCCACCAAAAGGCAACAACGGCAAGGCAAAAGCTTTTAGTTTTACTTGATGTGTTAATTACAAATATTAGTTAGAGTAAAGTGATTTTTCAGAAGCTTCCCCACCCACTAAAATGTCCTCCCACAGGCACTTGGCTGGGGGGTTTGAGTCACACAGGCGGGGGTGGGCCTGAGTTTGCCCCCCTGGGGTTCCCAGGAGGCAGCTGCAGTCGTCGGGAGCCATGAACTGGGGCTGTCCCAGGATATAAGGGAAATATTGGCTGTGCCTTCCAAGTTATTATAGAGTAAGGGATAAATAAGACAAACCCATGAACGTGGCCACGTATTTATGAGACTCATAATGAGAATTTTCAGCCTCCTTGCAGAGGTGAGCTACTATTGTGCTCGGGAAGATTAAGGCACTTCTAAACGGCTGTTCCCGTGCACTCACGGACACTTGGTGTGCACACGTGCACACGGCAACATCCACATGTGCACACAGGTGCGTGTGCATGCACCCCTCACACGTGCACCCCTCACACACATGCTTACAGGTGTGTGTGCATGCACCCCTCACACACGTGCACCCCTCACACACGTGCTCACCCACAGATGTGCATACAGGAGCATTGCATGCACCCCTCACACACGTGCACCCCTCACACACATGCACCCCTCACACACGTGCTCTCCTCACACACGTGCTCTCACACACGTGCATCCCTCACACACGTGCTCTCCTCACACACATGCATCCCTCACACACGTGCACCCCTCACACACATGCACCCCTCACACACGTGCATCCCTCACACACGTGCACCCCTCACACACATGCACCCCTCAGACACGTGCACCCCTCACACACGTGCTCACCCACAGATGTGCATACAGAAGCATTGCATGCACCCCTCACACACGTGCTCCCCTCACACATGTGCACCCCTCACGCACATGCTCACCCACAGATGTGCACCCCTCACGCACGTGCTCACCCACAGATGTGCACCCCTCACGCACGTGCTCACCCACAGATGTGCATACAGGAGCATTGCATGCACCCCTCACAGACGTGCTCCCCTCACACACGTGCTCCCCTCACACACGTGCACCCCTCACACACGTGCTCTCCTCACACACATGCATCTGTCACACACGTGCACCCCTCACACACGTGCTCTCCTCACACACATGCACCCCTCACACACGTGCATCCCTCACACACGTGCACCCCTCACACACATGCACCCCTCACACACGTGCACCCCTCACACACGTGCTCTCCTCACACACATGCATCTGTCACACACGTGCACCCCTCACACACGTGCTCTCCTCACACACATGCATCCCTCACACACGTGCTCTCCTCACACACATGCATCCCTCACACACGTGCACCCCCACACACATGCACCCCTCACACACGTGCACCCCTCTCACACGTGCACCCCTCACACACGTGCACCCCTCACACATGTGCATCCCTCACACACGTGCTCCCCTCACACACGTGCACCCCTCACACACGTGCTCCCCTCACACACGTGCTCACCCCTCACACACGTGCACCCCTCACACACGTGCACCCCTCATACATGTGCACCCCTCACACACGTGCACACCCACACTGATGCACCCCTCACACACGTGCTCTCTTCACACACATGCACCCCTCACACACGTGCACCCTTCACACACGTGCACCCCTCACACACGTGCACCCCTCACACACGTGCTCACCCACACTGATGCAGAGGATTCTCCAAACCTGCAGGCTCCATGTGAATAGTGGAAACTGTATTTGCAGAGTTAATTTTTCATTAAGCAAAATTATTAGGCTGCCATTGAATAACTTTTTTCAAATAACTTTATTTAAAGTGATAAAAACTTTTATCATTACAAATAAATTAAGCATTAACTCAGTAGTGTTTTGCCTCTTCTAAGGGTTCGTGTGCCGTAAGGTGCAGTTTTCCCTCACGTTTTAATGGCTCTGACGGGCGCCGCTCAGTCACCAGTTTCCCCTTTCCCAGTGGCTTGGAACAGCGGTCTGTCCTACGCTGGAGTCTTTCGGATTCCTCAGAATGCGGCATGTTTATGAAAAAGCATTCATAGGGAGGGGTAGGGATGGGGGTCTCTAGGTTAATAGTGAGGACGGTATTTCTATTTTATGTATGTGTGTTTCAGAGTTGCAAATCACCTCAGATAAAATAGGGCCCCTTAGACAAGACAGCAGGCCTGGCCCGAGGGGAGGGGTGTCTGTGATGACCTTCTCAAGGCCAAAAACTTCAGGACCAGCAGGATTCCTCCAGAGAATGTTTTCTTGAAGAGCGTTAGCTGCGCGTTGCAAGGCTGGCCGAGAGGGCACAGGCCCACAGGGGACCCGGGGTTCCGCCCCTGCGCTGCTGCCAGGCTCTGGCTGTGTGACCTGTCACCCTCCAGGCCTCAACATCCACACTCATGTCAGCAGGGTGATGACAACTTCCCAGGGACCCCAGAACGTCACCCGCCTCAACTGCAGACGCCTCTGAGCACATGTCCCATTCACAGAGCGTTTGGGTTTCTTCTTTAAGCCTGCTGGTTATGACAGAAAGTAAAATATTAACCAAGAAGAATAATCTCACATTTAAATACAGCTTCACACAAACACATACATCTGTAGCAACGTCGTTACAGGAGACTGAGAAGGCGTGGGGGCTCCTCATCATTCCAGGCTGTGCTTTTCCCTTGAGAAGCAATAGAGGTAGGAGACTGCGGCTGTTTCTGACCTCTGGACCGGTTAGAGAGCGTTTGTAGGGTAAAAACATACACAGGAGGCTGTGTGTTATGAGAGGAGCCACCAAATCGGCAGGCGACAGCGAGGGGGACACGAGGCCTGCAGAGGGCGTGGACATGACCAGCTGCTTCGAGGCCTGCACTCTGCCTCCGACGGCTTTATCTCTAGGGCATGAGTCTCTTGCGACAGGAAGTGAGTATTAATGAATCAGTTAACCATTTTCTAAACTGGGAAGTTGTCTTGTGACCAGTCTTCACGCAGGCAGGCACCTCCCCCGCGTGCCCGACACTAACCCAAGCCTTATGTTTTGTGGGACACGTGGCCTCGCCCGGGCCAAGGGTCGGTGTGACTGTCCAGCCTCTGTGTCACCAAGGTGGGGTGTTCATCTATTGAACTCACATCCTCACCAGCCGTCCCAGCCAGGAGACACTCGGGAAAACTGCTACCGCACGGCGGCACAGGGACCGTAAACATGTTACCGCTGGACATAATGGAAGCTGCCGATGACACCACACACAAAGCCCCCCATGGGTTCCAAGTATTTTTACACGGCCAGACCTGGCCCTGTGCCTTGTTCAGCGGCCTCTCTGTGGAGAAGCCTTCTCCTGCCGGGACCTGCAGCATCTCACAGCTGGGGGTGGGGCTGGGGAACCTGCAGCATCTCACAGCTGGGGGTGGGGCTGGGGAACCTGCAGCATCTCACAGCTGGGGGTGGGGCTGGGGAACCTGCAGCATCTCACAGCTGGGGGTGGGGCTGGGGGTGCTTTCACCCACGGCCAGGGGTCGTGCCCGGGAATTTCCCAGCTTACCAGCTTAGCACCCCCGCGTCGTCCCTGGAGCTGGGAGCTATGGGTCTTTCCACTGTTGGTCACGACTCTGCCCTGTCCCTGCACATGAGGGCGGGTGGTTGAAAAATCAAAGCCAAGTAAGCTTTGGAGGGAGCGTGTTTAACCTGCCCTCGGGTTTACACTGAAACCCTGCCCACATGTTATCAAGGGTTACCCATAAACAAAGGTCGGCGAAGGATGAAGAAAAACAAGTTGCTTTTACGAGTCAATTAAATATGTGATAGTGCTCAACTCATTTTGGCCTGTGTGGTTTAAAGACCAGACGAGAATATGCTGTTATTTAAGTAAAGGTAAAATGAGGGTCTGGGCCCATTTTGCACCATTTAGCAAGTGAATGGGTAGCTTTTGTGGTCAGACCTCACTTTGGCTGACAGAGCTAGGAAATGTGCAAGGAGCATTTGCTGATTAGTTCATCTCCCTCCATCCATCCGTGTCCCCGTTCCTTCACCCCTCTGCGTGCCAGGTCAAGATATCCCAGAGAATGTTTCTAGAGGAGTTCTGGACTCAAGTCTAATAAAGGAAACCCCAGGAAATCCAGAACAGAAAGTTAGCGTGTGACAGGAGGAAATTCGTTTTGCACTCCGCAGCTGAATTTGCGGTTGCCTTTCTAACGTCACATGGGCTGTGCTGAGGATAGGCCAGGTCTCTCTCCCCTGCACGGACATCGCAGACGCTCACCGTGGTGGGGTGGATTGATGGACATGGTGAGAGCTGCATGGACATTGCAGATACTACAGACATCGCAGACACTACAGACATCGCAGACACTTGCTGTGGTGGGTGGATTGATGGATGCGGTGTGAGCTATACGGACATCACTCGCCATGGTGGGTGGACTGATGGACGCGGTGTGAGCTGTACGGACATCACTCGCCATGGTGGGTGGACTGATGGACGCGGTGTGAGCTGTACGGACATCACTCGCCATGGTGGGTGGACTGATGGACGCGGTGTGAGCTGTACGGACATCACTCGCCATGGTGGGTGGACTGATGGACGCGGTGTGAGCTGTACGGACATCACTCGCCATGGTGGGTGGACTGATGGACGCGGTGTGAGCTGTACGGACATCACTCGCCATGGTGGGTGGACTGATGGACGCGGTGTGAGCTGTACGGACATCACTCGCCATGGTGGGTGGACTGATGGACGCGGTGTGAGCTGTACGGACATCACTCGCCATGGTGGGTGGACTGATGGACGCGGTGTGAGCTGTACGGACATCACTCGCCGTGGTGGGTGGATTGATGGATGCGGTGTGAGCTGTACGGACATCACTCGCCGTGGTGGGTGGATTGGTGGACACAATGTGAGCCAGCCAGTCTCTGATGGCAACTGTTTTACATTCCCGGGTAGCATTTGTCCCCTCTGGTTTTCTCATTGGCATCTTTCTCTCTTTTTAAGAAATTCGTCAGAAGCAACATGGTTCTTCCCAGTGAGTGTAGCAGAGGTCTGCTTGACATTTTAGATACATTTCTCCAATTCTCCTTCCGTTCCTTGCCAGCCACTATGTGCTGTGCTGAGCTCAAGCCACAGGTGCATCTGCCCAAGTGCAGGGCCCTGTCGGGAAGAGCCGTCTGAGGCCCCCAGTCTCCATGGAAGGAGGTGCCTGTGAGAGACGATGTGCCAGGAGGAGGCCGGTGTGGCTGAGCAGACAAACTTACATTCAGAGAAGCCTCATCCGTGGAAACAGCCCAGGAGGTACAGCAGCTGTTGGGCTCTGGACTTGGCATGTGGCTTATGGCCGAGCATCCCCTTAGGATCATCCCAGCCCTCCAGCTCCTGCCCCCAAGTCGGGAAAGGCTTCCCGTGCATGGCAGGGCCTCCACGGGCTCTGGAGTCCTGGTCGGCCTCTGCTGGGATGGGCTGGGCCTTTCTCTGAGCCCCCAGGCCTTTAGTGCCTCCTAGTCCCACCCTCCAGCCCTCCCTGAGCTAAGCACCTTCCCAGCCCCCTGCTGGCCTCTCATTCACTCTCTGAACGGCGAGTGTTGCTTTTTTGCTGAGGATTCTCTTGGAAACCCTTTGAGCTGAGAGATGAGCCCACAGCGGTGCCTCTGCCTCAGATGTTGGTGTACCCTGCGGCCCCACGGGGAGTGGACGCTGGCAGTCGGGGCACCTTGGCTGTGGGAAAGGAGGACCACGCTGGCCACACAGGCCTGAGTGTGTGGGACCAGGGCAAGCAGGGAGAGCTGGCATACCCCCACCCCATTCTCCAGTTACCAACCCTTAACCCGGGGCTCTCCTAGCGGGGTCCCCATACCTGCAGCACCAGCATCCCCGGGCACGCGTGTGAAGTGCTCGAGGCAGGCCGCACCCCTACAGAGCTGGGGCTGGCGATCTCTTTCCACCGGCCCTGCAGAGAGTTCCCGTCCGGCTGAAATCTGAGACCCCGGTCTAAAGAGTGTGATTCTCTTCCTGCAGAGTATCAGGAGCAGACCAGCTTCCCAAACAGTCACCCGCAGAGCTTCTGCTCCTTCGGGGAGGGCCCTGACTTTCTCGTGGTAGAAATCCTCCACCCGGCCAGGTTCCGGCTGCCCCAGGCCCCCTAGAAGACTCCGGGGATTGCTGAGCAGATGCGGGGCTGCCTGGAGCTGGCCTGGCCCCTGGTGCCCTGCTAATGCCATTTTTTGGTAACACCCATTCACAATAGCCTGGCTGAGGGTTTTGTTCTCCTTCTCTTTATTTGCTATCACTAAATCCATCTGATTAAAAATTAGCCTGGTGTGCCCTTGTCCCAGTTGCTGGGGGGGGTGCCTGGGGGCTGCTGTTTCCAGGGAGAGGGAGGGACAGTGTCACTTACGGGACCACACAAAGGGGCGAATCTGCCTTTTGCTTTTGTCTCTTCCGCTACAGCTCCCACCCTCGCCTGTTCCTTGGAATTAGATAGGGTGAAGTCTGTGCCTCCTTCACCAGCATAAACAGAAGCTATTTTAAGTTGATGGGCCCCAACCCCAACCAAGACACAGGATCCGATGATCCTCTGGAAGCGCCGTCTTTGCTCAAATTGCAGCTGGGGATGTCCTAACTCCTGACCACAGATGGAGGTTTGACATACTCTGCTTTACGCATGAGGTTTTCTAAACAGTTTATGTAGCTAGAGGCTGTTTTGGAGAAACAGAGATGGTCATGGACATAGTTGCAAATACCAAGGCTATCAGTGGACATGGAGACGCTGGGCTCTGTGTGAGGCAGGAAGTGACGTTTCCCTCCTTAGAGGCTCAGCCCGTTAGAACTCGGCCTGCAGCTCGTTTGAGGCTCAGCCCGTTAGAACTCGGCCTGCAGCTCGTTTGAGGCTCAGCCCGTTAGAACTCGGCCTGCAGCTCGTTTGAGGCTCAGCCCGTTAGAACTCGGCCTGCAGCTCGTTTGAGGCTCAGCCCGTTAGAACTCGGTCTGCAGCTGGTTTGAGGCTCAGCTCCTTAGAACTCCGCCTGCAGCTCGTTTGTGGCTCAGCCCGTTAGAACTCGGCCTGCAGCTGGTTTGAGGCTCAGCCCGTTAGAACTCGGCCTGCAGCTCGTTTGTGGCTCAGCCCGTTAGAACTCGGTCTGCAGCTGGTTTGAGGCTCAGCTCCTTAGAACTCCGCCTGCAGCTCGTTTGTGGCTCAGCCCGTTAGAACTCGGCCTGCAGCTGGTTTGAGGCTCAGCCCGTTAGAACTCGGCCTGCAGCTCGTTTGTGGCTCAGCCCGTTAGAACTCGGCCTGCAGCTGGTTTGAGGCTCAGCCCGTTAGAACTCGGCCTGCAGCTCTTTGTGGCTCAGCCCGTTAGAACTCGGCCTGCAGCTGGTTTGAGGCTCAGCCCGTTAGAACTCGGCCTGCAGCTCGTTTGTGCCGTTCCATGTTGCAGTTTTAGGTTTTTTTTTTTTTTACTTTGAGCAGCCCTGGATTATGACAGGTGTCTGGCGATGTCTTTCCTGACCAGAGCGTGGCTCAGCCCCCGACCGGGGCCCACGGCCAGACCCTCACTCTGCTGCCCCCGACCTGGGACACCGTGGCTCTCTCAGGAGGATTCTCACTCCCCAGCCAAGCACAGTCTGTGGTGTCAAACCTGCCGGTGTCCGGATGGGTGTGTCCTGGTGCTCTGAGGCTCCGGTCCGGGCTGTGGGGACGCGGGAGGCTGAGCGGGTGAAGGCGGCTGTGATGTGCGTGTCATGCCCTGTGCAGGTGCCAGGAGGGGCTGTCGGTCCTCACAGCAGCCAGGGGAGGAAGCTTGTTGTGTTTGTTGCTGATGAGGAAACGGGGCTCTGGGAGGGAAGTGCTTTGCCGGCTCACGCTGGGCCACAGCTGCCTGCTGCTTTCCTGAGAAGCCGTGTAAGGAAGGTGGCGGCCGAGTGCGCAGAACCTGTCCTGTGTAGGGCCAGGGGTCATGCAGCTGTGCAGGGAAGCAGCCGCAGGCACGGTGCCGTCCAGTGAGCCGGACTGTATCCATTTCACCTTATTTCAGACACTGAGATTTGAGTTGCACGTAATGTTCACAGGCATGAAATGTTATCCTTTTGATAATTTTTAAATTACTTAAAATCTACCTTGCAGGCGTTACAGCACAGGGTATGGTCAGGGGCCCGGGTCTGTCTCTCCCTGGTCCTGGCAGCCATGTAAGCCCGTAGACCCAGAGCAGGGGTCCAGCTTCCAGGCCCCCCTGGGGACTGCTGAATTCTGTCCCACTGACTTAGATTTTTTGTTTTATTCTGAGCATTTCTGTGTCTGTTGATTCACTATTTTTTTCTGGTTATAGAAGGAATAATTTTTCTTTTACCAACCACCCAGGCTGCAGCCACCTGTGACTGGTCAGGTTTCTGTGATGGGGAGAGGGCCTGGCCCTGAGGTCTGTGTTTCACGGCTCTCACTGGGCTCCGCCAGACGCTCGTTGCCCTGAGGGTGCAGCTGTGGCAGCATCTGTGGGTGGCTGAGGAGACGGGACGTTCACCGGGAAGTTGCGCCCCAAGGGTGTTCTGGGGGCTGCCTCGATTCCCAGAGCTAGACCCACACGATGCTGAGTCTCGTGCCGCCGCGAGGCCACCCCCGGTCAAAGAGACCCAGTCGCCTGCCTCGTGGCCCTGCGCCAGCCCCGCCTCTGGTGACGTCTCTTTGGAAGCCACAGCAGGAGGAGGCTGCTCACGGCGTTTGGAGGCTCGAGGGCCTGGTCTCCAGGTGTGCACAGCCGGGATGGAGCAGAAGGAGGATGAGCTTAAGTCAGAGAGTCCTGGGCTCCAGTTTTGCTTTGACGTTTATGTTGCTTTAAGAGAAAACAGCTCAGCTGTGCTTTTCTCCTCTCCGCGGCCCTCATGGCTGATCTGTATGGAAGATTAGAGAGGACCCTGTGTCAACGTCCGCAGCCCACCGTAGGTGCTGAGTAAATGTTGGTCGGTGTTTTTCTCACTTTATTTTCAAGCTGTCATTGGCTTGGGATTTTGTAAAAGGCAGCTGGGGTGTGGATTGGAGTGGAGCTCTAAGATGCTTGAGGCAAGAGGAGGCTGTGAACAGGAGGGTTTGGACTGGGAACCACGCAGCACAAACGAGCTGAGTTCGAGGAAGGCCTCAGTGCCTTGAAAGGCAGCTGCTGTTTACACTTTTCTCAAGACAGAGGCTTCACGTGGTCGCCGTTCACACAAGTGCCAAGCAAGACCCTGGCACCAGAGGCGTGGACTGAAAATGAAGCCACCTGAACGTCCTGTGACGGTCACGGAGCCGGTCGTGTTCGGGGGCCCGTGTGTGTTTGTCAGGCCAGGACCCTGCCGCCTGCCCTCTGGCTTAAGGAATCCAGTTGGGGAGAAACACTCCCTCTGAGTACCCCTGGGGTTTTGACCCAGCTTGAGGTTGTAAACAGGTGGAGGGGGCCGAGTGGAGAGGCCTTGCTGTGATAGAGACCTGGGCCTGCCCTGCCACCGTCCGCCGGGAGCCCACGGCAGCCTCGCCCTCCGACACCTGCACGCTGCATGCAGTGGACTGAACTGCAGGATGCCTGTGTTGCTGCCAGTTCTGCTGTTTGGGAAAAACTCTCTGTGTTAAGTTGGATCTTCCTTGTGACTGATTCAGAGGAGCCACGTTGTTACGGAAGGGCTGGGACCCAGACACAGGGTCCAGAGTGTCCTCGAGGTATCAGAAGAACTCCTGGAGAGCAAGCTGAGGGCTGTGTCGTCGCCACACCCTCCGTGGGTCCCTGCTCCTGAGTTAGGCTGTGCCCAGCCGCCCAGTGACTCAGAAGCTGTGCACACAAGGTGTGAATCCCACCTTGCTCTAGCACCAAGAAAACAGCACCTGGTGATGGGATGTGGATGGCGGACGCGGGGTGACAGACAGGGGATAATGGACATGGGGTGATGGACGTGGGGTGATGGACATGGGGTGATGGATGCGGGGTGACGGACGGGGGATCATGGACGTGGGGTGATGGACGGAGGATGACGGACGGGGGGTGATGGATGGGGGATGATGGACGCGGGGTGATGGATGGGGTGACGGACATGGGGTGACGGATGGGGGTGATGGACGCGGGGTGATGGACACGGGATGACGGATGTGGGGTGACAGATGGGGTGATGGTTTCAGGGTGACAGACATGGGGTGACGGACGGGGATGACAGACACGGGGTGACGGATGCAGGGTGACAGACATGGGGTGACAGACGCGGGGTGACAGACACGGGGTGATGGGGGATGACAGCTGCGGGGTGACGGACAGGGGATGACGGAGGATGATGGGTTGTGGGATGATAGGACTTCTCAGCACTGGTCGCTCCTGCCTGGGGGTGGGAGTGAATGGGAAGGAGAAAGGCTCGGAGAGGTCCTTACCCAGTGGCCAGGAGTGGGGCTCAGGTTTTTCGTAGTGTTCAGGGGATCCCGCAGAGCCCCTAGGGGATGGCAGGGCCACCCCCACCATGCCGGCGAGGAAGCAGGCTTGGAGAGGCTTACCCTCTGAGGCGGCCGTGGAGAGTGGCACTCAGGGGCTGGCTCAGGTCCCAGGCTGGGTGCGAGCTGATCCGCGTCAGCCTCTGGTTCTGAAACACTGAGCCTGGCTCCATTCTGAAAAGTGCAGCAGTAATTTGAACCTTGTTCTGAATGGCCCCGCTGATTCATCCTGCTTTTGCAGGGTCCTGCTGAAGGACAGCGGCTTCTGCTTCCTCTGATCCTGGCAGCCTGGAACTTCCTGAGAGGACTGGGCATGTGGATAGCCATGGGGGGGGACGTCCTTTAAACTGGGGAATGGGCTCCCCTAGACACAGTCGCTTCCACAGGAATCTTCTAGAGCCTCACCCAGGGCAGAGCAGACACCCGCAGCAGCCTGGAGTTCCGGGGAGCCCTGGCCGCCTGCCTGGGTCATGAGGGACAGGCCAGCCCCCAACCCTTGGGTAGGAAGAGCCCAGCCCTCAGACAGGACAGGCACCTGGGTGAACAGACAGCTTCCCCTGCAGGAGGAGATGCAGCTGTTCAGAAGCAGACCTCCAGCGTGGGAAAATCAGACCCATGGTGTCAGGGTGCACGAAGGCAGGACACACAGGCCCGTCCCCCGCGAGGGTCAGGACACGAAGGAGGGACACACAGGCCCGTCCCCCGCAAGGGTCAGGATACGAAGGAGGGACACACAGGCCACATCCCCTGCGAAGACCAGGACACGAACGTGGGACACACAGGCCTGTCCCCTGCGAGGACCAGGACACAAAGGCAGACACACAGGCCACGTACCCCGTGAGGGTCAAGGTGCCCAGGGTCAAGGCTGGAGCCTGAACGCTGTCCGCAGACCGTGGCTGGATGGAGACTGCCATGTTGAAATGCCTGCACATCTGATCCAGATGTGGCCGTGCACGAGAGAGGAGGTGTGGGCGTGCACACCAAGCCGTCCTTGCCAGATGTGGCTCTGGGGGGGCCTGGCTGAGGGAGGGAAAAGAGTTAACTTTTTCTACCTGGAGACTTAACTGGCTAGAATGAATATCTATTTCTTTGTAATTAAGAACATTTTAAAATACAGAAAAATAGTTTCCTTATAAGACTTTTAATTTTAAACATACGCAGAGCTTTCTAAATGGGACGCAGCATATAGTTTGGTTTCTGTGGGCCGTGTGCCTTCCATGTGCCTGGAGGATGGACAGGTGGTTTTGTAATGTGTGTCATAGTTTGCACCCAGCTGGTTCAGGTGTTAAGCCAAAAACAATTAATAAAGCAGTGGTGGTGATCAGTTCAGACAGAGCCCAACCCCTCCCCACGCCAGGGGCTTATGCTCCGGAGCGGGAAGCGTGTTCTAAGTGGGACTTGGGTGTGAATTTCTACACCTACGCTAAGTAAAATGGGCATTTATTTACAAAGCTCCGAATTACATTGTTTTATATTTTATGTTTAAACTTCATTAGGAAAAATTGCCATTATTGTTACACGTAATGAGTTGACTGTCAATATAAACGAAGGAAATGTTGGCAAAAGAAAAATTAGACCTATCATTTTTATTTACAATAATCTCAAATGCTGTTAAATTTGTAAGCATTTCTGTTGCTTTATAGATGTTTTGGAAAAGCTAATTTTAAGTTTTCAAGAATGAGAAGTTGTCCCCACTGAAAGCCTGGCACGTTAGCGTCTTTCTTTGCGTTAGTTTCTCTCCATTCTTATTTTGCTCCGTGGAGATACGGTGCGCGCACACATATTCAATATTAAACACACATCTGTAAACACACACAGGAAACATTAAACCCATATGTTTCTATGTATTATTGAAAGTTCATCGGAAAAGACAGCAGAGGCCGTGTGCCGCTCTGCCATGCGCCCATCCGGAGGCTGCCGTGTGCCGCTCTGCGATGTGCACCCATCCCAACACCCGGTCATCCTCTTCCTCCCACTCAGTGCCTGCGATTTCCTGCCGTGGCCCCAGAGGAATGGCAGCTCTTTAGGGTCAGGACTGCTCAGCTCAGGGCGGGTGCAAGACGCTCTGTGTGTCAGAGTCTTGCACTGTGGAATGCCCGCTTCCTTTCCCCCACGCTGATTCCCCCACTGTGTAGCTTACCGTAATAGTTTCACAGCTAGCTGACTTCCTTAGGCCACTGGAATATTGATTTGTTCTCATGTTCTCTTAAAAATATTTTTCAAAGATTGAGAAGACACCGTAAATATGCCGTCATGGTCAGGTGTCAGGACAACGGACGGGCTGCTCAGAGCCTGGCCTGGTTTCTGTCGTTTCTGGAATGCTGTGGATGTGCTGCAGACGCCAGTGCCTCCCGTCCAGCCTCAGGCTGGGTGAAGCGAGGCGGAGGGAGCGTCTGGTCAGTGCTGGCCCCGGATGTGCCTGTGGCCTTGTCAGGCAGGAGGCAGGTGAGGAGCTTCGATGCCGGTGGTCCCTGTCCCCGTGCTGGAGGAGGGGGGCTGCCAGTGCTGCTCCTCCTTGGCTGAGGCCTCCTGAGCCCTTTTCCCCTAGGTGTCCCCTCCCAAAGCCGGGCTCCTCATAAATTTGGGGGTACAGAGCTCTGCGGCACCCCTTGGTGGAGTTGCCTCTGGAGAGCTCCACTGCTGCTGTGAACCTGCCTCTGCTTGCTGGTCACACGGCTGCCCAGTGAGCACCCCTCAGTGCAGGGTCCATGGCACCCTGGCATCTCAGAGGGCTGGCGGCTGCTGGGGATGAGGCTGGAGCCCAAGGGCAGGGTGGGGGCTTGCGTGGGGGTCGTCCTCCCAGTCCCGGACCTGCCCTCCTCCTGGGGAGAGCCCCACCCACCCTTCTGAGGTGACGGCTTGGCCCTGGAGACTACCTGCCCTGACTGGGGGCCAGGCGTGCTCTCCATCTCCAGGGATTCTGGGGCTTGGGGAGGTCATAGTCTGTTGGAGGAGGGTGCGCCAATTGGCCAAAGGGTGTTTATGGCCCGAGATGGAAGCTGGGCTCGGGGGGCCGAGAGCCTGGGGGCCACCCTTCCTGTGAGGGCTGCTGACGCTGGTGTGGGCAATGCTCAGGTGAACGTGTGTGGGGAGGGGAGGGGGCGAACGTGTGTGGGGAGGGGAGTGGGTAGCGTGTGTGGGGAGGGTGTGAACGTGTGTGTGGGGAGGGAGGGGTGAGCATGTGTGGGCTGGGGAGGCGGTAGCCCCCCCTCCAGAACAGACACTGCACTGCAGCCTGCACTTGGAGTCTGCTGCTCTCTCAGGCAGTCTTGTCCTGAGTCGTAAATAAGGAACGGAAAACCAAAGTTTCGATTTGCTATTTTCTCCTATTCTGAAGGTGCCATTGAGACGCCAAATCTTGTGCGGTTCAGGCTTTTGGCTGTGGTTCTCCACGGGGTGGCTGATGAGAGGCTTTGTGGCCGGCCCACTAGGAGGGCATCGGATGCTCGCCCTGTAATTGCGCTGGGTGTGCCCGCCACCGGAGTTCCCGCCCCTGATGACAGGGTCAGGCAGAGGCCGGTTCTTGCTAGCTGCAGGTTTTGTGGGTACAGGTCATGGGGTATGGGCTGTGGACTGAGCCTCTGGCCAGGGTGTGGTGGCATCTCAGGCCGCATCACCAGTGGGTGTCTGTGGCTGGGGCAGTGTGGACGCATCGGGGGTGGGTGTCCGTGGCCGGCGGCAGTGTGGACGCATCGGGGGTGGGTGTCCGTGGCCGGGGACAGCGTGGACGCATCAGGGGTGGGTGTCCGTGGCCGTGGCAGTGTGGACGCATCAGGGGTGGGTGTCCGTGGCCGTGGCAGCGTGGACGCATCGGGGGTGGGTGTCTGTGGCCAGGGCAGTGTGGACGCATCAGGGGTGGGTGTCCGTGGCCGTGGCAGTGTGGACGCATCAGGGGTGGGTGTCCGTGGCCGTGACAGCGTGGACGCATCGGGGGTGGGTGTCCGTGGCCGTGGCAGCATGGACGCATCGGGGGTGGGTGTCTGTGGCCGGGGGCAGTGTGAACGCATCAGGGGTGGGTGTCTGTGGCCGGCGGCAGTGTGGACGCATCGGGGGTGGGTGTCCGTGGCTGTGGCAGCGTGGACGCATCGGGGGTGGGTGTCCGTGGCCGGGGCAGTGTGGACGCATCAGGGGTGGGTGTCTGTGGCCGGGGGCAGTGTGAACGCATCAGGGGTGGGTGTCTGTGGTCGGCGGCAGTGTGGACGCATCGGGGGTGGGTGTCCGTGGCTGTGGCAGCATGGACGCATCGGGGGTGGGTGTCTGTGGCCGTGGCAGTGTGGACGCATCGGGGGTGGTGGTGCTGAGCCGAGACTCGGGCTCCGGTGTCATCAGGGGTGGGTGTCTGTGGCCGGGGGCAGTGTGAACGCATCAGGGGTGGGTGTCTGTGGTCGGCGGCAGTGTGGACGCATCGGGGGTGGGTGTCCGTGGCTGTGGCAGCATGGACGCATCGGGGGTGGGTGTCTGTGGCCGTGGCAGTGTGGACGCATCGGGGGTGGTGGTGCTGAGCCGAGACTCGGGCTCCGGTGTCAGGTGCTCCTCGGCGGCTTGGTTCTGTGTCCCCCGTCCCCCCGTCCCCCGTCTGGGAGCCGCCCGACCTTCCCTTTGGATGTAGTGTGTGTCTGGGGCTCTTGGTGTTCTCTGTGCTTTGCAAGGGTGAGAGCTACCCCAGAGAGAATGCCAGGCTCTTCCCAGACACCCCGAAGGGCCAGGGCAGCCTTCACTGTGCTGAGGCTGGCTGTGGTCTCTTGGGCATCTCTCCCGACTTGGGCCAGGTACACAGTGGGGTAGGGCGAATGTGCACACATTTCCGGTGGACTTGGGGGAGACCCTCTAGGTCTCCTTGAAGCACAGAGCCAGTGCACCTGGCTTCTCTGCCAGACACAGCAACAGTCACGGCCATTGGCCACAGCCACCTCCACGACAGCCACAGCTGCATTTCTCCCCCTGGGGCCGGCTGCACCGGAGCTGCCCACGTGAGTGTCCTTGGCTGACAGCATCGCAGCCTCACTCTTAGGGGTGAGCGAGCAGCAGGGGTGGTTTGGTTCAGGGACCCCAACTCTGGGAGCCCACCTGCCTGGGGCTGGACTCAGGCCCCGTGTTGCCTTGTGGGTGGGTGGGTGGCACTGCCGGCTGCGCCCACGGCGATTATACAGACGACTTGGTCTTCCCGTCGTCCCCAGCCCACAGGACTCCAGCCTCCACAGGCTTTGCCGCCCTCCCCAGGGGTCAGGAAGCCCCGGAGACCATAGGACAGAGGTGGTTTAGTCGGGAGCGTCGCCCTGGGGGTAGGTGAGGCAGGACAGGCAGTGACGCCGCAGCCTTGGCTGTGACACCACCTGGTGGGCTGCAGTCCCACTTCTGCCCCTGCCACCGGCCATGTGGCCTGCTCACCGCCCTGGGCCTCAGCATCTTCTCCTGCAAAATGGGGTCGTGATGGTTCCTGAGAGTTTGTGTGTAGAGGGCAGTGCTGGCACAAAACGTCAGAGACAGGGCCCCTCGCACCTCCTGCCCGTCCCACGCAGCTGCACCAGGCTCTGGGGGAGGGTGGGACCTGAGCTTGGTTCTTCTTGTGGGAAGCGCTCTCACTCCCTCTCTGTCCCTCTCCCTCTCACCGTCTCTCTGTCTCCGTCTCTCTTCCTCCTTCACTCTCGCTCTCCCCCAGCACAGGTCCGACAGTCTGGTTCGGTGCCCGCTGCTCTGCCGCCCTCTGGGCTCCTGGCTGGGGCTCTGCTCTGCTTCTCAGCCCGCTGCCTGCCCACTGCCCGCCTACCGCCCACCTGCTGCCCGCCTACCACCCGCCCGCTGTGGATCCTGTGCTTCACAGCCCCCGTCTCTCTGTTTTCTGGCACTGGAAGAAGACACTCTTTTTAAGACAGTCCTGTGACTCACAACCAAAGGGAGGTCAAGTGCATTTGCACAGTTGTATGCAGTCTGGGGGTCTCCGCTCAAGGCTGGGGACTGTGTGTCGGGCAGGTCCTTCGGTGCTGGGCACGGGGTCTTTCACCCTGTAGACGTCGCTTGTGGGGTCCTTGGAAACTGAGACCCCCGCTCCCCACTTTCTGATGAGAGGGCCCCGTCTGTCTTTATGCCATGGTCCAGGGTGAGTTGATTTCCTTGTGCCGTGGTCCAGGGTGAATGATGTGCCACATTTCCTGGGAATGACATTTTCCGTATGTTTTCCAGACGGCATTGGCATGGCCCACTTTGGAATCCAGCAGGTGACTTCAGGGCCCACAAGCCTCTCACCCCCAGGACCCCGGGTGCAGCCACAGCAGTTAAGGGAGACACTTAGACACTGCCGTCTTCCCTGGAAGCTTCCAGTTCCAACTCCGGGGCTGTTCGGGTTTCGTGTATTTCACTGCTGGCTTCACTGTTTTACCAACAGGGCTGACTTGGAAACGAGGACAGCCAAGCGTGTTTGCCAAGGAAAGCCCGGATCTCCGGCGTGCAGTGCCGGCTGGGGCCCCTGGCATGGGTCAGGGCCGGGATCAGGCCCCTCCAGGTTCGGATTGTCCATGGGGTGGTGCTTAGACACTGTCTCAGGGCGGGGCCCAGCACGGGCAGTGGCTGGCAACTCTCCAGCCCTGAGGGGTTCCTCCTGCCTCTGTCCTTCCTGTAGAGGTGCAGTCCCCTGGTGGGCCGTGGGGGTGCAGGGGGTGCTGGGGCCACTGCCTACCCGTCCTGGTTGGGGGTAGACCTCGCTGGGCAGAACCCCTTCCTAGCACATGGCCCAGGGGTCTGCTTGCCAGTTGGATTTTCCCTTCCCTTCCCTCTGAAATTCCCTGGTTCTTCAATTTTGGTCCCTTTTTCTGGGCCTCTCTGACTTGTCTGTAACAGAAGTGCAGAGAGGTTTGGTGGCTGCCGTTGGCCGGGACACAGGCCTGCAGAACCCGCCTTGCTGGTGACTGCACAGGCCATCCATGTGGGTGTGGGGAGCCCCTGTCCCTACACCCCCGGCTGCTCCTCAGGCCCCCAGGTGTGTCCAGCCTGACACAGGCTGACGCTCACCCCCTCACCTGCGGTTTCAGTCACATGTGGTCAGCCGTGGTCCAAAAATGTTAAATGGAAAATTCTAAAAATAAGCAATTTCTGAGTTTTTAAAATTGTGTGGCATTCTCAGTAGCAGTTGAGGCCCCGCAGTCCACCTGTCAGTCACTAGCAGCCTCTCCAGGTGGCGAGAACACAGACGCATGGGGCCCGGGCTCCACGGCTTCCGGTGTCCCTGGGGCCTTGGAGTGTTTCTCGAAGGGTACACAGTTCCCAAACGGCTGGACATTTAAACAGGTCCGGGCAGCAGAGAGACCGAACCAGCCTGGGATTTTCCGAGTTGAGGCTGTTTGCCCAGGTGTCCTGGTGTGGGATGTGCTTTCTGGCATTTTCCATGGAAGCCACGTCAGCCGCCTTCTTCCCAACTGCTAGGGCCGGCTGCTGCACTTGTCTTGGAGGTGGTTTCCAGAACAAACTTCCAGCCAGCCGTGGGGCGCAGCGCAGGGGGACTGGGCCCAGACGGGGGTCCCTGGCTGCTCTGAGCATCACGTCCTCCGCCTGACAGAGCCCTGCCTCCAGGACCTTCCTCCCCTTTCCAGGCCACGCTGACCAAGTGCTTTGCAGGCGGGCGGCTCCTGGGTGTTGCGCACAAGAGTCTAAAATCTCCTTTCAGAATGCTTGGAGGGTGCTGTGCACCCCATGGCCGAAGCTCTGAGGGTGCCCCAGGACGCAGTGGGGAGGGTCGGGGCCGAGGGGCAGCCGCTGGTGCTGGCACAGAGGCATCCACATCGGCGCGCCCTCAGCACCGCGGGCCGGGGCGGGGCAGAGTCAGAGCTGCGTCTCCTGCGAGCTCCTCCATTTACCATTCGGCGTCTTCCTATTGCGCAGAGTTTGGAAAGCCTTGCTGTGTTCAGGTGTGGCAGTGTGGTCTCTCCACCCTGGCCTGCCGCTCTTCCAGAGCAGACGCTTTGCAAACCTGCAGTTTTTCTTGCTTGATTAGGACAATAGTTTTTAAACAGCATTAGAGTTAAGGAGATAAAACTGTGCGTGTGAGCATCGAGTGGAGCATGTGGGGGCTGTGGGGGGCTGCAGGGGGGCTGTGGGGGGGCTGTGGGGTGGGGGCTACGGGGGGCTGCTGTGGGGGGCTGTGGGGGGGCTGCTGTGGGGGGCTGTGGGGGGGCTGCTGTGGGGGGGCTGTGGGGGGGCTGCTGTGGGGGGCTGTGGGGGGGCTGCTGTGGGGGGCTGTGGGGGGGCTGCTGTGGGGGGCTGTGGGGGGGCTGCTGTGGGGGGCTGTGGGGGGGCTGCTGTGGGGGCTGTGGGGGGGCTGCTGTGGGGGCTGTGGGGGGGCTGCTGTGGGGGGCTGTGGGGGGGCTGGGGGGGCTGTGGGGGGGCTGTGGGGGGGCTGCTGTGGGGGCTGCATCTCAGGCGCTGACCCTGCATTTGGGCCAGTTTTAAACAGAGCCGTACTTAGGTCCCAGGCAGGGAGGGAAAGGAGGGAGACGCGCTGTGTGAACACAGGTCTGAGAAGCGCTGACCAGAGGCCTGAGTCATTCCCGGACACCCCGGGGAATCCAAATGTGCCTGGAAAGGGAGAGGCAGTCGCCCTCCCTCCCCGACCCAGCACCCACCCACAAGACACGCTATTTCTGTACCGTCCCTGTGTGATGGAGGCCTGGGAGTGGCTGCAGCCCCGCGTGTCCCCATGCAGGGAGGAGCTTCGTCCCCGGCTCAGGCCTCAGCAGCTGCCTGTGGCTTGGGAGCGTCTGCTGTGCTTCTGGCTCTGACCTTCACTGCTGTTCTGACCTTGAGAAAAGGAGGGGTGGTCTGGGGGGCTCGGGTGGCCGGGCCCCGACTGCTGTGGTCTGGGGGGCTCGGGTGGCCGGGCCCCGACTGCTGTGGTCTGGGGGGCTCGGGTGGCCGGGCCCCGACTGCTGTGGTCTGGGGGGCTCGGGTGGCCGGGCCCCGACTGCTGTGGTCTGGGGGGCTCGGGTGGCCGGGCCCCGACTGCTGTGGTCTGGGGGGCTCGGGTGGCCGGGCCCCGACTGCTGTGGTCTGGGGGGCTCGGGTGGCCGGGCCCCGACTGCTGTGGTCCGGCATCAGTGGGCGTTGCTGCCTTCTGGCCTGCGGGGCCACTCTGTGCAGCCTCTTTTTCTTGTGCTGCTGAAGCAAAGGTTAGAGTGTAGCCCAAAGCTCTGTTAAAATAAATTTCAGAGCTTTTATTTCTTCATTCTTTAAATCCCTTCTGAGGTCTTTCTCCCGCCCTTGTGCCTTCCACTGCCTCTCTCCTTGCTGTCTGGGACATCCCACGGGGTTCCTTCTTCCCTGGGTCTGGGCTGGTCTCTCCTCTGGACTCTCAGCCGGCCTCCATGCCCCTTGCCCTTCCTGCCTCCCCTCATCCCGGCCATGGGGTTTCCTACATCTTGTTGGGAGGGGGCCGGCCAGCCCCATTCCACACACACACACCCTTAACGTCCTGACCCCAGCCCACCAGGTCTCAGGGCTGCAGCCCTGCTGCACTTTCGCCTGTTCACGTCTCTGCCTCAGGGCTGGCCTGGGCGCCTGCAGCCCTGCTGAACTTTCACCTGTTCGTGTCTCTGTTCCCCCATGGCTCTGGTGCAGACCCCTGGATGTCGCTGGTGTGAGGCCTGGCTGGGCACGCAGACCCTGGGATCCTTAGCGCCTGCTGACCCGCACCTGGGTCCCTGTTGCCTTGTCCGCCTGTTCTCTGTCCTCTCAGCTCTGCCCCCAGGGTAGAGGGCATGGCCTCCCGTTTGATTTTTTTTCCTGCTGTCTTGGCTGGGCCTGGCTCGTCGCTGATGAGCTGTTGACCACAGGCTGCCCGCTGTAGCCCTGTGTGCTGTGTCTTTAGCCAGGTGCCGTGCTCCCCTGCAGCCCCCAGACTTGGGGTTTTGGCCCTGGGGTCCACTTGGGCCTCTCTGTGCTGGCAGCCGGCCTGGGCCTGGATGGGGGCTGTAGCCCCTCGGCGTGCTCAGCTGAGGGCTGAGAGCTGCCTTTGTCTGAGGTCTCCATCTGGGCCCGCTTTGTTCCCAGGGGTATCCACTCTCTCGCTGGTGGTCTCCCTGGACCCCCTGTGGTGGGGCCCCGGCCGTCTGCACTGCTGCACGGCGTGCACAGGGTCACGAATGAGACAAGACCCCATGGTGGGGCCTTGAGACCCAGGCAGGGCCTTCCTGAGGCATCCACTCCGCATAGGCTGCGTCCCCCGTCCTGTCGGCTGCCCACTCTCTCCCGCCTCTTGCCCTAGAAACCTGCACATCAGCTCCCGTCTCAGCGTCTGCATCCCGGGCAACTGTGTGGCCCTGCAGAGGGGAGCCATTCTGTAAGATGGACTGGGACGAGGAGAAGGACGGCAGCCTTTGTGGCCGGGCACTTCCGTTCTGTGATTGCTGCTTCATGTAACTGCTCTCTTCTGGGAGAAGGAACTCAGAGGGCGTTTAGATGCTTCAGGAAGACACTTCTGGTGGGGTTTTCAGGCTGCATCATGCCTTTCTTTGAGAAACGCCCTGAGGCATCTATTTGCTGCCTGCCTCTTCGCTGTGACGTTCTGTCTCATGTAGCAGCGATGGCGTCTTTTGGACCATTGCCCTGAATCGGGAATAGGATGGGTGTTTGGGTGTTTGCTCCTGGCGCCCTGTGGGGATGCACACAGCATAGCCGGGCAGGTTGCCGGCTGCTTGTAGACTTGCGGCTTTTCAGGACACACTGGCACCTGCCGTCTGACCTTATCTGCAGGGTATTTTATTGCTCAAGTTAACTGAAGCAGAGATGAGTGACAGTACTAAGACCACCCAGGCCTCTCGCCCCTGGACAGTTCCCAGTTAGCTCTAAAGATGCTCATTTGGTCAGCCCATATCTGCGGAGAACTGCTCGGTTCAGGAGGGGATGTGTGCACACAACTATAGCTGCTGTGCCTGGTGGAAGGGGAAGTGCCACAGCCTCAGTGACAACTGTGACGCCATGAACACTCAGGGACAGGTGTGGTGGCTTTGGGGGTGATCTGGGAGCCTCGTGGAGGAGCAGACTCAGAGTGGCCTGGTGCACGGGAAGGATTGAGACACAGAGGAGGGCACTGCAGGCGGAGAGAACGCATGTTCAAAGGCGCACATGTTGGCAAACACGGAGTGCGTTTGGCTGGGGTGTAGGGCGAGTACGTCCGAGGGAGCAGCGAGATCGGCCTGGACACAGACGGACGTTGCTTGTAGGGGCTCCAGAGCCTGGCTGAAGGGTCAGTGCTTCATTCGGTGGGTGCTGGAGAGCTGTTGAGTGCTTTGGGGGACGAGGAGGGAAGGGTGGTCATAACTGTGGTGGAGACCCGCACGCTAGTCAGTGTGGTGCTACAGTATTTAGAGAATGGAAAGGGAAGGCGTTTGGGAAATGGGTCATTTGGCTGGAAAGGAGCAGTTGTTCCCATAGGAGCAATCGGGTTATTCCAGGCTGGAACAGTTTGAATCACGGAGGAGGGTGAGTTGTACCCAGGACATGGATGGTCAGCCAGAGCTCATACTCTGTGCAAACTTCCCGGCCAGGGTCCCCAGTACTGAGCGCTATGAGAAGGTGGCTTCAGGCAGGAGGTCGGCTCACAGATGGGCAATGCACAGGGTTCCGAGCCGGGCGTGCAGAATCACCCAGTGTCGGACAACGGCTGAGATGCTGTTGAGGTGACTGTGAGAGAGGCGATTTGCTAGAGGAGGCATGGGTCGGTGAGCAGCTCTCAGACCCGATCCTGCGCCAGGGTCACCCTGCATTTTCGAGAACGTGGACTCCCAGGCAGCACGCCGGGGTGGGCCTGCGCACTCCCTTCCCAGCACACCGATGCCGCCAGGGCCACCTGGAGAGCACCCCTTTTCCGGCACACCGATGCCACCCAGGCCACCCAGAGAGCACCCCCTTCCCAGCACACCGATGCCGCCAGGGCCACCTGGAGAGCACCCCCTCCCGGCACACCAGTGCCACCCAGGGTGGCATCTTCCTGTAGGCAGATTTTCCCAGTCGTTGTGTGAAAAATTAACGTTGATTAGCTTGTAGTACCAAAGAGGATCGTGGTTTTATGTCATAATTGCTCTGCCCCCACACACTCTGCTGAGTCAAGTAAACACAATAGCTTAACTTTTACTGGATTAGAAAGTGAGACAAAACTCAGGATTGGACTTATTTGCTCAAATCACAGAATTGTGGAGTTGGAAAGAGACCCAGGGTCACCTGAGGCCCAGCCACTCAGCTTACAGATGGGGAAACTGAGGCCTGGAGAGGTTGGATGAGTCGCCCCAAGCCACCTGGTTTTGGAAACAGCCGGGCCCATCATCCTGTCCCTCAGAGTGCCTCTCCTGAGCCTTGCCTGCTGCTTGAGCTCTTTGATGACTTGTGAGTGTGAGTGGACGCATGTGAAGGTGTGTGCATGACATAAACAAGTCTCCATTAATCAGCCGCAGGAAGGAGTGAAGCCCTGAGACTACAGCATGGAAAAATCTAGAAAACATGAGGCTGCATCAAGGAAGCCAGGTGCAGGAGGCCACATGTGTGATTCCATTTCTGTGAGATGTTCAGGACAGGCAAATCTGTAGTGATAGAAGGTGGATTAATGGATGCCAGGGACTGTAGGGAGGGGAGATGGGAGTGGGAATGGGTATGGGGTTTCTTTTTCGGGTCATGAAAATTCTCTGGAGTTAGTGGTGATGGTTTTATAGCTCTGTGAATATACTAAAAACCACTGTGTTTACACTTAAAGGGTGAATTGTATGATATGTGAATTACATCTCAATAAAAAATAATTGCAGAAAATTACTGAAAAGCCCCAAATTATTCACCAATGGAGGATGATAGGTAGCCAAGTCATTATTTGAAAACCCAGTAAATAAAAGGGAATAATCAAGCATTTATCCTGACTTTCCTGTGTGAACTTCACTGATGGGTTACTAAATAGTAAATTCCGCTTATAAAATTATTTCATTTCATGAATTAAAATGAAAGGTAGAATAATAGCATCACCTTTAACCCCCTACTAGAGCAGCAGATGAAGTACATACTGCATGGTTCTGTTGAGCTGAGATGTAAGAATAGGGTGACTCTAGAACTCTGAAGAGTGCTAAGCTTTAGGTGGGGCGGGATATGAGAGGAGATTCTGGAGCGGGGGAGCCCGCGCCTCG
Source organism: Homo sapiens (assembly GCF_000001405.40). Lineage (NCBI taxonomy): Eukaryota > Metazoa > Chordata > Mammalia > Primates > Hominidae > Homo > Homo sapiens. The sequence goes on along the minus strand of NC_000013.11, from coordinate 114,094,861 downwards.
GTCTCGGTACTGACTGTGTGGCTGTGCACATATCTAAACGTGTGAGCTCTATTTACTGAGTGTATATTATAGCCCAACAAAATGCATAAATAAAAATAATACAATTAAATATAAGCTCTAAAAGAAGTATTTATTTATACCCTTTCTTGCTCCAAAAAAGGATGTCAGGTAGAATGTGATGCATGTGTACTAAACACATTCACATTTGCCAATGTTGCCTCTATCAATACTTAGGTAAACATGTTTTTTTTAAGTTGCAAAATACACATAACATGAAATTCAGCATTTTAAGAATTTTAAAGTGTACGATTCAGTGGCATTTAGCACATTTACAATGCTGTGCAGCCATCATCCCTCTCTAGTTTCAACACTTTGTAATCACCCCAGAAGAACATCCTTTAAGTAATCACTTCCCATCTCCTGGCAGCCACAAATGACATATCACATTTTGTTTATCCGTTCATGTGTTGATGGACATTTGGGTTGTTTTCACCTTTTTGGACTATTGTGAATAGTGCTGCTATGAACATTCGTGTTTGTTTTGATTTGCACACCAGTTTTCAATTCTTTTAAGTATATACCTAGGAGTGAAATTGGTGGATCATATGGTAATGCTATGTTTAGTTTATTGAGTGGTGGAATTGAAGGTAACCTGCTCATATTTCCCACAACAACAAGAATTCTGTACCTATGCACAGTCAAAAGTCTCTCTGTGGGACTCTTGGGATTCAGACATTATCATACATCCACAAGCACCAAGAACATTCAGGCAAATGTGACCTTACGAAATGGATAAAATAAGGTGCGAGAGACGGGCCCTAACATGATGATGGAGATGTGTGATCTCTCAGACAAAGGATTCAAAATAGCTGTTTTCAGGAAGCTCAATGAACTTCAAGAAAACAGAGACTGAATTTACAAATTTATCAGAGAAAGTTAACAGATTGAAGTAATAGAAAAAATCAAATGGAAATCTTAGAGCAGAAAAATACAGTGAATGAAATGCAAAAATGAAAGAGAGAGCATTAGTAGCAGAACTGATCAAATAGAAGGAGGAATCAGTGAGCTCAAAGACAGAGTATTTGAAAATACACAGAGAAGAAAAAAGAAAAAAAATGAAAAGAAATGAAGAAAGCTTACAAGATCTATGGGACAACATCAAAAGAACAAATATTCAAGCTATCAGAGTTAAAAAGGGAATTGAGAAAAACAAGGCAGAAGAAGACCTATTCAAATAAGTAACAGCAAACTTTCCAACCTGGAGAAAGATAGAAATATTCAGGTACAGGAAGGTCAAAGGTCACCAATCAGATTCAACCCAAATAAGAATAAGACATACTATAATCAAAAAACTCTCAAAGATCAAAGAGATGATGTCAAAAGCAGCAAGAGAAAAGAAGCAAACAACATTTTGGGGAGATCCAATATACCTAGCAGCAACTTCTCAGCAGAAACCTTATAGGCCAGGAGGGAGTGGGATGATATATTCAGAGTGCTAAAGGAAAACAATTGTCAACTAAAAATAGTGTACCCAGCAAAGCTATCATTCAGAAATGAAGGAGAGATGGCAGCTTTCTCAGACAAACAAAAGCTGAGGAGACTCATCACTACCACACCTGTCCTACAAGAAGCCCTAAAGGGAGTTCTTCAAACCAAAGGAAAAGGATGCTAATGTGATTGTCATACTAATACTGTAATTATGGTGTGTAAACCACTTCTATCTTTTGTAAGAAGAATGAAAGACACAATTAATAAAATAATAACCACAACAATTAGTTAGGAGATAGGCAATATCAAAATATAAATTGTGACACCAAAAATTCAAAATATGGGAGGAGAAGAGAGTTAACATGTACATGGTTTTGTCTCTTTTTTTTACAATCAAAGGTAAGTTGGTATCAGTTTTAATAACTTGTTATAACTACTGAATGTTTTTCATAAGCCTTATGAGGGCTACAAAAGGAGGTCAATTCAGCAAGGTGATATAACAATAGTAAATATATATGCACCCAGTACCAGAGCACCCCGATATATATAAAGCAAATATTAATATATCTAAAGAGAGAGACAGACTGTAATACAATAATAGTAGGGGACTTCACACCCCACTTTCAGCAACGGGAAGGTCATCCAGGCAGAAAAATCAACAAGAAGCATTGGAGTTAAACTATACTCTAGGCCAAAAGAGCCTGACAAACATTAACAGAATATTTCATCCAACAGCTGCAGAATACACATTATTCTCATTGGCAAGTGGAACATTCTCCAGGATAGACTATAGGTTAGCTCACAAAACAATCTCAAAAAATTAAAAAACGTCAAAATTATATCAAGTCTCTTTTCTCAACACAATCAAAAAAACTAGAAACCATAGCAAGAGGAACTTTGGAAACTATGCAAACACATGGAAATTAAACAACATGCTCCCGAATGACCAGTGGGTCAGGGAAGAAATTAAGAGGGAAAATTTAAAATTTCTTGAAACAAATGAAAATGGAAACATAACATACCAAAACCTATGGGATACAGCAAAAGCAGTGCTAAGAGGGACATTTATAGCAATGAATGCCTATGTCATAGAAGTAGAAAGACTTCAAGTAAACAACCTAGTGATGCACCACAAGGAACTGGAAAATCAAGAAGCCAACCCCCAAATTAGTAGAAGGAAAGAAATAACAAAGATCCGAGCAGAAATGAATGAAATTGAGACAAAAGAGACAAAAGATCAACACAATGAAAAGCTGATTTTTTTGAAAAGATAAAATTGACAAAGCTCTAGCTAGACTAAGAAAAAAAAAAGATAAGACCCCAATAAATAAAATCAAGGATGGAAAAAGAAACATTATAACTGATAGCACAGAAATACAAAGGCTCACTAGAGACTATTATGAACAGCTATACACCAATACATTAGAAAACCTAGAGAAATTTTATAAATTCCTGGACACATACAACCTACCAAGGTGGGGCCATAAAGAAACAGAACCTGAACAGACGTAGAAATCAGAACAAAAAATCTCCCAGCAAAGAAAAAGCCCAGGCCCTGATGGATCATTCAAACATTTAAAGAACTAATACCAATTATATTCAAACTAATCCAAACAAATGGAGAGAAGGGGATACTTCCAAACTCAAGCAGTGAGGTTAGTGTTACCTGATACCCAAACCAGACAAGGACACAACACAAAAAGAAAACTAAAGGCCAATGTCTCTGATGAACACAGACACAAAAGTCCTCAGCAAGACACCAGCAAGCAGATGCCAGCAGCACATTAGAAAGACCATTCAGCATGACAGGTGGGACTCATCCAGGAATGCAGGGATGGTTTAATACCTGCTCATCAATAAATGTGATCGGTCACATGGATATAACCCAGAACAAAAACCATGATTATTTCAGTCAGTGCTGGAAAAGCATTTGATACAATTCAGCATCCCTCATGACAAAAACTCAACAGATTGGGTATAGAGGAACATACCTCAAAATGGTAGAGCCTGTTGATGACAAAACCATAGCTAACCTCATACCGAATGGGGAAAGCTCAGAAACCTTTCCACTGAAATCTGGGACACGACCTCACACCAAATGGGGAAATCTCGGAAGCCTTTCCACTGAAATGTGGGACATGACAGTGGAGGGGGACCCATGTGGCCCCAGACCCTTCATCTTTCACAGCAGGGAGCCAGCAGCTGATTTTAAGTTGATCTAAGAAATAGCAATGGGACTGTTATTTAAAGTTGAAATGCTAGCTCAAAAAACTAAGAAATTAGTAACTGTGGTTATTTCTAGAGAGTGCGTCTACAGATGGGCATGGGGCTTTAGGGCTACTCTTAATTTTTAATCTTGGACTCCTATAGTTGAAAGTTTTCTACCATGCATTTCTGGTATTACTGAACAATAACACCACCAAAAAACATACATATATATGTATGTAACAGATTTTATAGGGAAACCTTCAAAAATAGAATGTTCCCACCTCTCTCCACCTTCTACTTGAAACTTTGAACTGGAGTTGTAGATTAAGGCTCTGGAACCTCTTGTATTTTCTCCAGGAAAAGGGAACTGGCGTTCTTTTTGTTACGCATACCTGAGGGCCAGCCCTGTGAATTTAGAGGAAGCAAGGGTCTGCGTGTTCACTGCCTGAGCCTGCTGCAGAGACGCCCGTGCCCGTCAGGCATGTGTGCTTGTCACGTGGGCTCTCTGCTGTGAGGTGTTTTTCTCTTGTAGTTTCACAGCCCATGCTCCAGTGTGGGCAATGTGAACCCAGACTCACGCTGTGATGAGCTCAGGGGGCAAGCCTGCCTGGTCGGAAGCGGAATCTCCTGGGACAGGAGACCCAAAGTGATGTGTTGTGGACCTTTTGCTGCCACGCAGGGAGGAGCCTCGGTCCCTTCTCTTCAGAGACAGTTTCTTCATCTGTCTGGTCTTACACCAAAAATATTAACTGTCTCAAAACTGTTGCCACAATCATGTACCCCCATTTTGCCATCATAAAACAAAACAAAACAAAATTAAAGACAGATATTTCTCTGACTCAAAGCAAATATATAACCAAAAAGACAGTAACAAGTGCTGACGAGGGTGTAGAGACATGGTAACGCTTGCGCTTTGCAGGCAGGTGTGAAGGCACGGCCCTGGGCAGGCAGCCGGGTGGCTCCTAGGGTAATTAAACCTGTTGCCGTGCGGCCCCACCCGTTGGTAAATAATCAAGAGAATCCCAAAGCTGTCCGTGTTCACATGGGAACTTGTGCACACTTCACAGCGGCACCATTCACAACAACTGAAAGCTGGGAACAGCCCAAACATCCATCAGTGATTAACAAATACACAGAATGCGTTCCATCCGTGACATGAAATATCATCTGGCCAGGAAGATGGGCAGAGCTGTGACGGGCTAAGCACGGGCGAACCTTGAAGACAGGACGTTCAGTGAAAGCAGCCAGGCACAGAAGGGGAAGGACCGTGTGGTCCCATTCCATGAAATGTCCAGGACAAGCAGACCCACAGAGACACAGAGTGGACTCGTGGTTGCCGGGGGCTGGGGGAGGAGGGTGGGTTTCGTTCAGGGGGACGGAAATGCTCGCGTCAATCGTGATAACGGTTGCTCAACTCGGAATACACTAAAAACCACGGGATCGTGCCCTTTAAAAGCAGGGAGTTGTGTGGTGTCAATCAAGACACCCACACACGTGCCGTGAACACCTGTGTGCAGGCTGTGGGGCGGCCGTGCGCGGCTGATGTCTGTGCAGGGCTGATGTCCGTGCAGGGCTGGCCCAGGCCTGCCCTTTCCTCCTGCTTCCTGGGTCACCGGGCAACTCTTCTGCAGCTGGGAGCAGGGGCTAAAGGCGTTCCTTAGTTCTGCGGCTGGATCAGACAGCACCTTCTGCTTGGTCCTCTGCCTGGGCTTGCCGGGCACCTGTGCGGGGCTCAGGTGGCCGCCTCCTGCCCTCCATGCCAGGGAAGATCAGGTTGTATTCAAATCACCCTCTGTGAGGTTTCCACCAGGTCCTCACCTTCATTCTCTGCAGCTTTCCCCTTCCCCCTCCCCCCTCCTCCCCCCCTCCTCCCCGCTCGTCTCCCCTCGTCTCCCCTCGTCTCCCCTCCTCTCTCCTCCTCCGAACATCCCTGCCATCTTGGTCTCTTATTTTCTTCACCCTTTTCAGCTGCTCTGCCCCTCTAATGAGAACTATTAGAAATTGCTGTGCAAGTAGCAGAAAGTGCAGCAGGAAGGAGCGAAGGAGCAGAAGGCTTAGGGGACAGAGCCCTGCTGGGAGGCTTGAGGGGAGCTCCACCAGGGATTCGGGACTCGCCAGGCTCTGCTGCCCTGGGAGGAGGAGCTGGGGGCTGTCCCTGCACCGCTGTGCTGGTAATTATGAACTTCATATATGGTGGAGTTTTTAATCCCTATTTATTTCTTACGGATCGTCTCTACTTTGTTTCCATAATCTTATTTATTGTTATTAGTAACCAGGGAACATTTTACCATGTGAAAATTAATTTGGGAATTTTAGGGCCAGGCACAGTGGCTCACGCCTGTAATCCCAGCACTTTGGGAGGCCAAGGCGGTTGGATCACCTGAGGTCGGGAGTTCAAGACCAGCCTGACCAACATGGAGAAACCTTGTCTCTAATAGAAATACAAAATTAGCTGGGCATGGTGGCGCACGCTTGTAATCCCAACTTCTCAGGAGGCTGAGGCAGGAGACTGTTTGAACCTGGGAGGCGGAGGTTGCCGTGAGCCAAGATTGCACCATCGCACTCCAGCCTGGGCAATAAAAGTGAAACTCCGTCTCAAAAAAAAAAAAAATTAATTTGGGAATTTAAATGTGCAAATCTGTTCAAATCCATCAAGTATGGCCTTCAGATAAGGAAGTCGAAGTGTGATTCTTCAGGCATTCCTTTCCCTAGGGGGCAAGAGGCTTACACTTGAAGGAGCCCAAGAGAATTGCTGTAGAAGGGATCAGAGCAAATGGCTGGGAGCTCCAGGGCGGGGAAGACTGAGAACCTTCCTTATGTGGCCCTGAGAGTGAGCAGAACTGTGGCTCAAGGGTGTGCAGCTGAGGTGTTAGAAAATAAGTCACACAGCAGAATTTTTTAAGTCTAAAGGCACGTTAATCATTGACATTTCCAAAATATTATTCCTTAATTGTGTAGGCCTTCACATGTCTATTTTAGATTTGTTGTGTGTGTATCTGTGACTGATGTGTCTCTCTTTCCTTTTATTTTTTTTTGAGACAGGGCCTCACTCTGTCATCCAGGCTGGAGTGCAGTGGTGTGATCATGGCTCACTGCAACCTCCACCTCCTGGGATCAAGTGATCCTCCCACCTCAGCCTCACAAATAGCTGGGACTACAGGCGTGCGCCACCACGCCCAGCTAATTTTTTGTATTTTTAGTAGAGATGAGGTTTCGCTATGTTGGCCAGGCTGGTCTCCAACTCCTGGGCTCGAGCCATCCGTCAGCCTCAGCCTCTCAAAATTCTGGTATTAAAGGCAAGAGCCACCGCGCCCGGCTCATTATCCGATTTAAGGTTTTTGGAAGGAAATGCTGCTCCCAGAATCAGGCTGTGTGTGTTGCTGCCTCCGGCCCTCCAAGGCCCTCTGATAAGTTGTCTGAAGTTATCTGTCACTGAAATGGGTTGTGGTGGTGTCGGGCGGGCGCCCTGCTGGCCCCGGGAGCCGTCAGCCCCATGTCAGCCTGGAAGGAGCTCCACTGAGACTTGGGGCTCTGAGGCAGGCTCGTTCCTGCTGGCACTGCCCGGGGCCCTCCCTCCAGAGGCGCAGGCCGGGGCTGCAGAGCGGGTGCAGGTGACTTTGCCTTCCCAGGTGCCCCCGCAATCCCGCCGGCTCTGGAAACTTGCTCATTTCAAAAGCTCGTGTAGCGCGCCCATCTCCAGGAGGTCTCTGCGTGGACTCCTGCTGCCAATCTTCAGGAGTTTTATGCCCAGATAAACACAGCCCCCATTCAGAATCCCATCACATACGCTGAGGACGAAGGGAATAAATACTCCAGACTCACCACTTCCCCGTGATTTCCCCACAAGGACGAAGGGAATCGATACTCCAAACTCACCACTTCCTGTGATTTCCCCGCGAGGACGAAGGGAATAAATACTCCAGACTCAGCACTTCCCCGTGATTTCCCCGCGAGGACGAAGGGAGTCGATACTCCAGACTCAGCACTTCCCCGGGATTTCCCCGCGAGGACGAAGGGAGTCGATACTCCAGACTCAGCACTTCCCCGGGATTTCCCCGCGAGGAGGAAGGGAGTCGATACTCCAGACTCAGCACTTCCCCGGGATTTCCCCGCGAGGACGAAGGGAGTCGATACTCCAGACTCAGCACTTCCCCGGGATTTCCCCGCGAGGACGAAGGGAGTCGATACTCCAGACTCAGCACTTCCCCGTGATTTCCCCGCGAGGAGGAAGGGAGTCGATACTCCAGACTCAGCACTTCCCCGGGATTTCCCCGCGAGGACGAAGGGAGTCGATACTCCAGACTCAGCACTTCCCCGGGATTTCCCCGCGAGGACGAAGGGAGTCGATACTCCAGACTCAGCACTTCCCCGTGATTTCCCCGCGAGGAGGAAGGGAGTCGATACTCCAGACTCAGCACTTCCCCGGGATTTCCCCGCGAGGACGAAGGGAGTCGATACTCCAGACTCAGCACTTCCCCGGGATTTCCCCGCGAGGACGAAGGGAGTCGATACTCCAGACTCAGCACTTCCCCGGGATTTCCCCGCGAGGAGGAAGGGAGTCGATACTCCAGACTCAGCACTTCCCCGGGATTTCCCCGCGAGGAGGAAGGGAGTCGATACTCCAGACTCAGCACTTCCCCGGGATTTCCCCGCGAGGAGGAAGGGAGTCGATACTCCAGACTCAGCACTTCCCCGGGATTTCCCCGCGAGGAGGAAGGGAGTCGATACTCCAGACTCAGCACTTCCCCGGGATTTCCCCGCGAGGACGAAGGGAGTCGATACTCCAGACTCAGCACTTCCCCGGGATTTCCCCGCGAGGAGGAAGGGAGTCGATACTCCAGACTCAGCACTTCCCCGGGATTTCCCCGCGAGGACGAAGGGAGTCGATACTCCAGACTCAGCACTTCCCCGGGATTTCCCCGCGAGGACGAAGGGAGTCGATACTCCAGACTCAGCACTTCCCCGGGATTTCCCCGCGAGGACGAAGGGAGTCGATACTCCAGACTCAGCACTTCCCCGGGATTTCCCCGCGAGGACGAAGGGAGTCGATACTCCAGACTCAGCACTTCCCCGGGATTTCCCCGCGAGGACGAAGGGAGTCGATACTCCAGACTCAGCACTTCCCCGGGATTTCCCCGCGAGGACGAAGGGAGTCGATACTCCAGACTCAGCACTTCCCCGGGATTTCCCCGCGAGGACGAAGGGAGTCGATACTCCAGACTCAGCACTTCCCCGGGATTTCCCCGCGAGGACGAAGGGAGTCGATACTCCAGACTCAGCACTTCCCCGGGATTTCCCCGCGAGGACGAAGGGAGTCGATACTCCAGACTCAGCACTTCCCCGGGATTTCCCCGCGAGGACGAAGGGAGTCGATACTCCAGACTCAGCACTTCCCCGGGATTTCCCCGCGAGGACGAAGGGAGTCGATACTCCAGACTCAGCACTTCCCCGGGATTTCCCCGCGAGGACGAAGGGAGTCGATACTCCAGACTCAGCACTTCCCCGGGATTTCCCCGCGAGGACGAAGGGAGTCGATACTCCAGACTCAGCACTTCCCCGGGATTTCCCCGCGAGGACGAAGGGAGTCGATACTCCAGACTCAGCACTTCCCCGGGATTTCCCCGCGAGGACGAAGGGAGTCGATACTCCAGACTCAGCACTTCCCCGGGATTTCCCCGCGAGGACGAAGGGAGTCGATACTCCAGACTCAGCACTTCCCCGGGATTTCCCCGCGAGGAGGAAGGGAGTCGATACTCCAGACTCAGCACTTCCCCGGGATTTCCCCGCGAGGAGGAAGGGAGTCGATACTCCAGACTCAGCACTTCCCCGGGATTTCCCCGCGAGGACGAAGGGAGTCGATACTCCAGACTCAGCACTTCCCCGGGATTTCCCCGCGAGGACGAAGGGAGTCGATACTCCAGACTCAGCACTTCCCCGGGATTTCCCCGCGAGGACGAAGGGAGTCGATACTCCAGACTCAGCACTTCCCCGGGATTTCCCCGCGAGGACGAAGGGAGTCGATACTCCAGACTCAGCACTTCCCCGGGATTTCCCCGCGAGGACGAAGGGAGTCGATACTCCAGACTCAGCACTTCCCCGGGATTTCCCCGCGAGGACGAAGGGAGTCGATACTCCAGACTCAGCACTTCCCCGGGATTTCCCCGCGAGGACGAAGGGAGTCGATACTCCAGACTCAGCACTTCCCCGGGATTTCCCCGCGAGGACGAAGGGAGTCGATACTCCAGACTCAGCACTTCCCCGGGATTTCCCCGCGAGGAGGAAGGGAGTCGATACTCCAGACTCAGCACTTCCCCGGGATTTCCCCGCGAGGAGGAAGGGAGTCGATACTCCAGACTCAGCACTTCCCCGGGATTTCCCCGCGAGGACGAAGGGAGTCGATACTCCAGACTCAGCACTTCCCCGGGATTTCCCCGCGAGGACGAAGGGAGTCGATACTCCAGACTCAGCACTTCCCCGGGATTTCCCCGCGAGGACGAAGGGAGTCGATACTCCAGACTCAGCACTTCCCCGGGATTTCCCCGCGAGGACGAAGGGAGTCGATACTCCAGACTCAGCACTTCCCCGGGATTTCCCCGCGAGGAGGAAGGGAGTCGATACTCCAGACTCAGCACTTCCCCGGGATTTCCCCGCGAGGAGGAAGGGAGTCGATACTCCAGACTCAGCACTTCCCCGTGATTTCCCCGCGAGGAGGAAGGGAGTCGATACTCCAGACTCAGCACTTCCCCGGGATTTCCCCGCGAGGAGGAAGGGAGTCGATACTCCAGACTCAGCACTTCCCCGGGATTTCCCCGCGAGGAGGAAGGGAGTCGATACTCCAGACTCAGCACTTCCCCGGGATTTCCCCGCGAGGAGGAAGGGAGTCGATACTCCAGACTCAGCACTTCCCCGGGATTTCCCCGCGAGGAGGAAGGGAGTCGATACTCCAGACTCACCACTTCCCCGGGATTTCCCCGCGAGGAGGAAGGGAGTCGATACTCCAGACTCAGCACTTCCCCGGGATTTCCCCGCGAGGAGGAAGGGAGTCGATACTCCAGACTCAGCACTTCCCCGTGATTTCCCCGCGAGGAGGAAGGGAGTCGATACTCCAGACTCAGCACTTCCCCGGGATTTCCCCGCGAGGACGAAGGGAGTCGATACTCCAGACTCAGCACTTCCCCGGGATTTCCCCGCGAGGACGAAGGGAGTCGATACTCCAGACTCAGCACTTCCCCGGGATTTCCCCGCGAGGAGGAAGGGAGTCGATACTCCAGACTCAGCACTTCCCCGGGATTTCCCCGCGAGGACGAAGGGAGTCGATACTCCAGACTCAGCACTTCCCCGTGATTTCCCCGCGAGGAGGAAGGGAGTCGATACTCCAGACTCACCACTTCCCCGTGATTTCCCCGCGAGGACGAAGGGAGTCGATACTCCAGACTCACCACTTCCCCGTGATTTCCCCGCGAGGACGAAGGGAGTCGATACTCCAGACTCACCACTTCCCCGTGATTTCCCCGCGAGGAGGAAGGGAGTCGATACTCCAGACTCACCACTTCCCCGTGATTTCCCCGCGAGGACGAAGGGAGTCGATACTCCAGACTCACCACTTCCCCGTGATTTCCCCGCGAGGACGAAGGGAGTCGATACTCCAGACTCAGCACTTCCTGTGATTTCACGGCACGCCATTGCTGCTGGGCTCCAGGCTGTCTGGCTGGGTGCTTCTGGAGGTGTGGGTGCCTCTGAACGGGGCCCTGCTCTCCTCTCTCTGGCTTTGGGGCCACACTGGTCGCTTGAAATCGGCCAGGAATGTTCACACCACAGAAATCAGGATGGGCCACACATCGGAGGAAATTGAGCTCACGTTTGAACAAAGGTTTTGTTGATCATCTAATCTTGCTACCCTGAATTAAATAATCTTGTATATAGCGGTTACACTGCAATAGCACAAAAAAATTAAGACAATGTTTTTCTGGCATTTAAAACTTCACCTGATTCAACAAAGTTGCTTGTGACATTGATGAATGAGTGAAGCGCCAGCATTCCCAGTGTGAAAGCCAGAAGAGATGTCAGCTTAATATAATTTGTATGAGTGGGAGAAATGTTTTAATGGTCGACACATATCACACTCAGTGATGACGCACTTTTTGAGAACCAGCTAGCAGAGGGTGCGTTGCCTCTGTTTGTCAAATCCTGGTTAAATGCAGCCCAGGATTGGCTTAGAGACAAGAGTTTGCTGTGAGAATCAATTAGCTCTGTGAGTTTGAAGTAGAGGACTGTGTATCTCATTATTTTTTGTGAGTTGTGTGCTACACATCTTTTACACTAGTGCAATGTATGACTTAACCTAGTTGAGCTCGTGCATGCATTTTTCCCCTAGAGAACCAGGTTGTTAAACCTCTGTTGGGACCACCCACCTGGGGGTGCAGCCCCAGGCCTGTCCCTTCCCCTCTTGCGTACAGGCTGGGTGTGAACTAAACGTTGCTTGGGTTAAGGAAAGTTGTTTTCCCTGCCCCCCATTCCTTCTCTGGGGCTGCCCCCAGACGGGACGCAGCTGGGAGACGTTCTTCATGGTTTTATCTCAGTGCGGCGCATCAAGGGAGAAAGACCCAGTTCCCTTTGTTCCTCACTCTCCATTCAAGCGCGTGTGTCCACCCGGGGAGCAGCCTCGGAGCCTCGGAGCACAGGGAGGTTTGCCCACTGTCCGTGATCAGGAAGAAAGCATCTCTCTCCGAGGCAGATGTCAGCATTGTTGCCACTGCCCGTTATAAGAGACTAGGGTTCCCCAGGCTCAGGCCCTGCTCCCAAGGTGCAGCCGATATGTGTGCAGGCATCACTGGGTTCCCAATCCCAATTTGGTACTGCGTGAGGCAAACCAGGGCACCTGCAGACGCTGCAGCTCTGGCTCTGCTGTTGCGGTGATGTCCTTTGTCTCAGACGTGGACGTCTCTGGCCTCCTGCCTGCCCCTGTGAGACCCGCAGCTCCCCGGTGAGTGGGGCGAGGAGGTAGGGGCATCTTCACACCTTCTCAGTTCTCAGCAGTAAGTAATGCCTCTCAGTCCTGGCTGCACCCAGAACCACCTGCAGGCTTTCTAATCAAGACGAATGTCTGTTCTTACTGCCTGGAGCCCGTCCTAGTCAAAGAATGGCAATCTCTGGGTGGGGTCCAGGCATTTGTCCTGTGAGAAGCTCTCCTGTGTGTGCAGCTGCAGCCGGTGAGTGCAGGTGTGAGGTCCTGTGTGTGGACTCAGGAGAGGAGTCACAGCCCCAGGAGATGCAGCCTGGATGCGGGGCAGGCTCTGCTGCGCTAGGAACACGGGGGCCCTGGGGGTTCCTGTGCAGCACCGGTGTGTCTCTGCTCCTTTGTGAACTCAGAAGGGCGGCTTCATTTCAGCCCACCTTTGCCTTCTCTTTCCTCGTTATTCCCTGGGTGTTTTCAGCCGCCAGTGAAACTTCGGTTTTGAACCCATAGGATTTGCCTCAGTCTCCTGGTGGACACGTCTCTGTGGAGGAGAGGTCCCCTGTCTGCAATCGCCTTCTTTCCCATATTTTATTACCTGTTTATAAGAGTGAGCACAGTTAGAACCAGCTGACAGGGTTTGGAGTCGTGTTTCTCAGGATATTCCAGAGGCATTCCTGCTCCATTCATCTCAGGACTTGAAGTATTTTCCCCAGCGGCTCATTGTAGACCAGCTGGATTCACAGGCAGTCAGAACCACGAGAGTGCATGTGCTGGTGGCCGTGGTCTGCGGACAGCATTTCCAGAGTGCTGGGTGATGCGGCCCCCGCGCCTTGAGAGTTATACTGCATCGGGAGACTGGGCAGCCCTGGGGAGGCCCGGCCTGGACAACCTTCTGGCTGACCTGGCTCCAAGGCCAGGTCTCCTCCTAGACGTTTAGGGATCACTTGGGTCTCGGGACGCGTGAGTCTCTGGAGTGACGTGGCAGCATCTCCTGTGTGGCCCGTTGCTAACAGCCTTTGCACCAAGCACGAGAGGAGGGTCATTTGCACCAGGAGCGTGTAACTGGGGTACTGTTGCGTTTTGGGTGGACGGCCCTCTGCCACGCAGCACTATTGGTGTTCTAGGTGGACGGCCCTCTGCCGTGGGACACTCTTGGTGTTCTAGGTGGACGGCCCTCTGCCGTGGGGCACTCTTGGTGTTCTAGGTGGACGGCCCTCTGCCGAGGGGCACTCTTGGTGTTCTAGGTGGACGGCCCTCTGCCGAGGGGCACTATTGGTGTTCTAGGTGGACGGCCCTCTGCCGAGGGGCACTATTGGTGTTTTGGGTGGACGGCCCTCTGCCACACGGCACTATTGGTGTTCTAGGTGGACGGCCCTGTGCCCTGGGGCACCGTGTGCAGCAGGACACTGAACAGAAGACACCCTGCACTCTGCCCACCAGATGCCATTTGCACAGCCCATAGTGAAATCCAAGCGTGCCCTGGGAGGTGGCCCCTGGGGGAGACCCCTGTTTCAGTGGCCCCTGGGGGAGACCCCTGTTTCAGCCGTTGTCGGGGTCAGGCCTCCAGTAAGCACAGTGGGCGCCTTCTAGGACCCCTCCTGCCACCCCGTCACCATAGACTCATTCTCCCTGTGGTGGAAGTTTCAATTACATTGAATATGCCCGTTATTTGGGAGGGTTTAACATCTGGGCCTGGTCACCCGCCCCTCAGCAGAACCTCCCGTGCCCTCTGAAGAGCCGTGGAGACTGGAGGGAGCTGGAGGTGCTCTCAAGGAGACTGGACGACAGGCAGACCCCCTGGACGGCAGTGCTGGGCCCTCCCTGGGCAGGTGGTGTCACCCAGTGAGTTTTGGAATCAGCCCGCACAGCCCTCTCCTCCTTCCACCGCCCACAGAAGCCCGCTGGTGCCAGGGGCTCCCAGCAGCCCCTCCCGGCCAGGAGGATTGGGGGGTGCCTTGCTTGAGGATGGCAGCCTGGGCTTCTGTCATTCATAACCCACAGGAGTCCTCTTGAGGGAGGAGCATGGTGCCCTGGAGAGCCCTGGACAAGACCTGGGCCTGGCTCCATCCAAGCCCAGCGGCCTCTGCCCCTCCTGAGCGTGAGGATAGAGCAGGTGCCGTCTGCCCTCGACTCGGCCCAGAGGAAACCCCACTCCCACGGCCTCGCCGAGTTCTGCCTATTTCTGGCAGCTTCGCAGGCCCTTCGGGAAGGCACTTGTGTTGCCAGGGGTCGTGGGGGTCAGGGTCATGCTGTGTCCTCAAGACGCTGTGTCCCCTGCCTCGGGGCCCCCCCGCCTCTTCCTCTTATGGCCTCTGCACCGCAGTCAGCCCACCGAGATGTGCAGCCTCGTCCCACGGAGGGTGCCGGGTGGGGAGGCCAGTGCGGACGGGCACTCAGGCCCACTCAGAGGCCAGTCACGGAGCCCCCGTGTCCAGAGGCGAACAGGAGCCAGGGGGCACATGGGCCTTGCAGTCAGCAGCTCAGAGCCCGGAGAGGGGTCTCTACCCACGCATGGCACAGAGGCTTCTGTGCCTCACTGAGACCCTGCCAGGGCCTGGAGGAGGACCTGTTCGAGTGAGGATCCCAGGGGCCAGGGCTGGGATCGCTGTTCCAGGCTTCTAAATAGCCCAAAGTAGACGGGGCTCTTCATCCTTTATTCAGATATTTTAGTCACAAGACTATTGTTCCGGTAAATACTTTATGTTGTTAGAAGACGCTGTGTGCCTAGCAAAATTTTTAGGCCCCTTTGAATGTTTTGCGTTGGGACGACTAAAAGGCTGAGGTTGGGAGCCTTGAGAGCCGCACTTCCTCCAATTCTCCCGCAGGGTCTCCTTCCCCAACAGGCCCTGGGCTTTATTGCTGGGACGGGGTTGCTTTCGCTGGACCATGCACCGGGGCTGTCGCCATCACCTGTTCCACGTTATTTCAGTGAGGCCGACCTGTAGTTGAGTAAAACGCCGTGATGACGTGGGAAAGAGAAGAGCGCCCAGCCTGGGTGGACGCGGCCAGTACCAGCACAGCCCTGGCCTCTCCAGGACGTCTTCTGTCTGGGTTGGTGCCAGGAGCTTTGCTCAGTGGAGCCCTGGGCCCTCGTCCTCACCCGTGGCTGCCTTCATTCCTTCCTCCGCCCTCTTCACTGGGCGCTGAGCTGAGCTGCTGAGCGCCTGGGAGACGCCCGCTGCTGTGTTGAGCAGTACATGAGGCCAGCCCCGCCTGAGGGCCCTCCCCAGGATGCCTGCAGGGAGGAGCAGTGCTGGGTGGGGTCTGTGGAGACCTCCCCATGCCCTCACAGCTCCTCCTGGGTACAGGGGTGTGGCTCCGGGTGCTGCGGGCAGCCCCGACAGCTCGCTGTCAGCACTTGGAGACCCTGTGTGGGCCTCCAGGGAAGCCTGGGCATCCTAACCCTCGGTCAGGGCTGGGCC
The DNA here is from genome assembly GCF_000001405.40 of Homo sapiens. Lineage (NCBI taxonomy): Eukaryota > Metazoa > Chordata > Mammalia > Primates > Hominidae > Homo > Homo sapiens. Next base: position 114,078,787 of record NC_000013.11, on the reverse strand, counting down.
TGTGCTCACCCTGAGGGTGCAGCTTCCCTCCATGGCCCAGAAGGGCTGCCGTGGGCGTGGGAGTCATGACGCTTTGGATCAGGGCCTTTGTTTTTGTTACTCACTGCCTGATCCCTGGAGTTGGAAATCAGGTTTTGCGGTGTTATGCTGTTTACATTAAATGTGTTTAAGTGCTGCCTTTTACTCCTGTTAGTTGAGTTTTCAGAGCCGATGCGAGGTGCTGTGTTGGCTGTCTTCATCAGTCTGCCGGCTGGTGAACACACCGCATATGTTTTAGAGGCATGGTCTGTGGGAAAAGTGGTCATGAGAACTGTTACTTATTTGGCTGTTAGGATGAAACCAGTTTACTTTTCTTTTAATTCATTTATTCATCCATGCATGCAACAGATAATTAGGTACTTACTGTATACCACAGACAGCTTTGTCTTTTTATATGAACGTCTCTGTGCACCAGAAAAAAAAGAGAAAACGTGTTTCCTCTAAGAGAGACAGAACAGGCACCTTTGGTGAAGGTAACTGAATGAACTGTTTGGGGTGCGGTGGAGAAGAAACAGTTGCTTGGGAGCTGGGGCAGCCCCCGTCCCGCTCAGCTGTGGGGCTGCAGGGAGAGGCTCGGTCCTGGTGCATGTGGCACACACGGCGAGGCCCCGGGGCGACGTGGCCAGGCCGTGCTGCAGCAGCCCCAGCCCTCCTGGTCTGAGCAGCTCATTGGATGTTGGTGCGTCCAGCAGGCTCCCTGGTGTTGCTGTCGTCATAGCAACCAGGATGTTTCTCAGGAGTTTTTTTTTTTTTTTTCTGTTTCAATGCTTTATTAACAGTTGGAAACAAAACCAGTGCCTTGGAGGTGATGGCATCAGAAGCCTGAGGCAGGGAAATGGGCTTGCATTTTGTCCCCCCACTTTTTTTTTTATTAAATGCATCATAGCAAAAGTAGATTAAAAAGAAAGAGTCTCAGCCCCAGATGACAGTGAGCAAGGAGAAGGAGGTAAAGACGGGGCCATCGGGCGGGGAGGGAGGAACCTGGTGTGTTTTGGGGCCAGGGGACTGGGCATCATCGGGCAGGGAGGGAGGAACCCGGTGCCTTGGTGCCAGTGCGGGGGAACTGGGCATCGTTGGGCAGGGAGGGAGGGAGGGATGAATCCGGTGCGTTGGTGCCAGTGTGGGGGGACTGGGCATTGTCGGGCAGGGAGGAAGGATGAATCCGGTGCATTGGTGCCAGTGCGGTGGGACTGGGCATCGTCGGGCAGGGAGGGAGGGATGAATCCGGTGCGTTGGTGCCAGTGTGGGGGGACTGGGCATCATTGAGTGGGGAGGGAGGAAGGGATGAATCCGGTGTGTTGGTGCCAGTGTGGGGGGACTGGGCATCGTCAGGCAGGGACGGAGGGATGAATTGGGTGCGTTGGTGCCAGTGCGGTAGGACTGGGCATCGTCAGGCAGGGATGGAGGAACCTGGTGCGTTGGTGCCAGTGCGGTGGGACTGGGCATCATCAGGCAGGGAGGGATGAATCTGGTGTGTTGGCGCCAGCGCAGGGGGATCCGGCCTTTTCATGTCGTACGGCGTCTGTCTTACAGGGACTCCACAGAAAGCTTGTGTGTTTCCGTCCTGCAGTGTCCGCCTTCGGAAGACCCAGCTGTTACTGCTGTGATTTGAGGCCCTGTGGGAACAAATCTCAGTTCCGTATTATCCACAAACACCATCTCCCACAGGACTTTCAAAAGCTTTTTTCTCTCTCCTTTTAAGAAACACAGGAACTTACAGCTAAATATCTACACTCATTTGTTGCAAAAAACAAAGAAATCCCAGAAAACAAAACAAAAACAAAAAACTCCCAAAGACAAAAACAAAAAACCCAGTAAAATCCCAAGGGAAATATGGTCAGCGTCAGGTCACACTGTAAAGGTGTCAGAAGGAAAGTCAGCAAAGTCAAGCTGTGTTTGAGGGTAAGGACTTCTATCTGCTGCAGAAGCCGTCAGTTCCAAAACAGGGCCGGGAGGCTGGAGGGGCCCCTGTCCGACTTGCTGGGTGTGCTGCGGCTGCCCTCAAATTCAGGGGCAGCCGCGGCCACCAGGAAGGCTGCGTCTGCTCCGGGAACCTCAACTGCCATCCCCCAGGCTCCCTTCCCTCTCTGGAGAAGCTCGCCGGCCATGTTCTCCCCTTCGTGCCTGTGAACTCATCACACACCCTGCCTGCGTGTGCCGCGTGTGTGTGCGTGTGCTGCCTGCGTGTGCTGCGTGTGTGTGCGGTGCTGCCTGCGTGCGTGTGCTGCGTGTGTGCGCTGCGTGTGTGCGTGTGCTGCGTGTGGGATCTTCACATCGGTGGGAGCCTTCGGAAAGCCTGTCTTCTGACATGGGATGACCGACCTGAGGCCTGGCCTGGAGCCAGGTGCCTCGTAGCAGCCTAGCTGTGTTCTCCCATGCAGCGGGTGAAGAAGGCGCATCCCGGGAGAGTCGCCGTGTTGAGGTGTTCTGAGGGTCCAGTGCCTATCAGGAAATACTCATTTTTTCCCACCAACCGATTATCATTGATGCTTCCTTAATGATTCCCAAAATAAAAATTTCCAGAACCTTTTGAATTAGAGGCGTCTCAGAGCCGGAGGAGCCTTCGAGAGCTGCTGTGTCTCTTGCTTTTGCAGTTCAGGACTTTGAGGCCCAGAGAGGTAGACTGTGTGTTGGGGGCACTGGCGGGAAACGGCCGCAAGCAGTGAGACCCTGAGAGCTGCTCCGTGTGGGCAGCAGCGGGTGCTGCTGGGAACGCCTGCCGGCGCCTCCACACGCAGAGATACGCGGCGCCGACACGGGAGGCTTCGTCCTGCCGGCGCCTCCACACCCAGAGATACGCGGCGCCGACACGGGAGGCTTCGTCCTGCCGGCGCCTCCACACGCAGAGATACGCGGCGCGGACACGGGAGGCTTCGTCCTGCCGGCGCCTCCACACGTAGAGATACGCGGCGCCGACACGGGAGGCTTCGTCCTGCCGGCGCCTCCACACGCAGAGATACGCGGCGCGGACACGGGAGGCTTCGTCCTGCCGGCGCCTCCACACCCAGAGATACGCGGCGCCGACACGGGCGGCTTCGTCCTGCCGGCGCCTCCACACGCAGAGATACGCGGTGCGGACACGGGAGGCTTCGTCCTGCCGGCGCCTCCACACGCAGAGATACGCGGTGCGGACACGGGAGGCTTCGTCCTGCCGGCGCCTCCACACGCAGAGATACGCGGCGCGGACACGGGAGGCTTCGTCCTGCCGGCGCCTCCACACCCAGAGATACGCGGCGCCGACACGGGAGGCTTCGTCCTGCCGGTGCCTCCACACGCAGAGATACGCGGCGCGGACACGGGAGGCGTTGTCCAGACCCTGGGGCTTCTGCTCCTTCTCACAGTGCCTCAGGTTAATATTGTGGATGAAAAGTCTTTAAAAAGCTTCAAACTGAGTTTATCTCTGCCCTTTGGAGTTGCTGGCATGCCAGTTTGCAAACTGGCATCTTTGAAATGAGCCGACTGCCCCATGTGAGCCATGACGTGTGCGCTTGCTGAGTTGACGCGAAACATTCAGCGCGGAGTGGCGGAAGTGGGGTTCTGAGAAACTTCTACTCTGCTCCCGTTTTTGATTTTGTTTGTTTCAACAAGAATAAGGTGATGTGGCCCTGAGTGGCGCCAGCAGGAGCCTTGGTGTGGTCTCAGCGTGGTGCCTGTGCCTGCATCTGTCCTCTCATCCTGCGTCGTGGAGACGCCACTGCCAGGCGTCTTTAGAGCCAAATGACGGAGGCAGAAAAGGCCCTGGGGAGGCGCGAGTGTGTTTGAGGCGTTTTTTTTACAGAATGGACTTAAACTGGGCATCCGCTGTCTGGATTGACAGCTGTCACTCATCCCTTCCTGCTCACTCCCTATTCTCCAGTAAACTGGGCCGTTAGGCTTGCCGCTGGGGCATGCTCCGAGCTTCCAGCAGAGAAGTCGCAGCTGGGGTTCAGTTATGACCTCCAGACTGACCCCTGGCAAACAAGGAGTCCGGGATCACGGGCGTTTTCTGCAGGGCCAGCCAGGAACTGGCCCCACTTCCTTCAAGCACGTCCAGGTGGCGTCTCTGTGGGCTTGAAGGAGGGAGAGGTGGACCTAGCTTAGGTCCCTCTGGGACGCTTCTCTTTACTGGCAATTCGAACAGCTGGAGTTTACAGTTAACTCACGTCCACAAGAAAGAGCTCTTTCCTTTAATTCTGGCTCCAACTTTGACCTAATATAAAATAAAATTCAAAATAAAAAGGGACTCAGTGGATAAATGAATAAGCAAGACGAGGTCCCTTTGCATCATGGAAGTTATTCAACCTTAAAATAGAAGGGAATCCAGTCAGCGGCCACAGCAGGGGCCACCCTGGAGGACATTTGCTGAGTAGAGTGAGCCGGGCTGAAAGGACACGTCCTGTGGATCCCGCCGACGTGAGGCCCCAGAGTAGTCAGATCCACAGAGACAGAAAGTGGGGTGAGGGCCACTGGGAGACAGCAGGAGGGGGATGGGAGTGAGTGTTGAATGGGGACCGAGTCTCCGTTTGGGAAGACGAGAGTGTTCCAGAGAGGACGGTGGTGATGGTTGCACAACTCGGTGAACGTGGTTAATGCCACAGAACTGTGCACGCGAGCAGGTCAGAGATGGAAAATTGTATGTTAAAAATTAAAATAAAGGGACTAATGCAGGTAAACAAGACACAGCAATCCTGAGTCCCAGGCTGGCAGGTCCCTGCTTGCGGGACTTGCATTAGAGGGTGGCGTGCATGTCCCTCGCCTTTCGGCAGTACACATGGGGTGCACATCCACATTTTGACTTGTGGTGGCAAAAAAACCAAGGCTTTATAGAGAGCTAGTGAATGCACACAAGCAAAGGCTGGAAACGTGTCTGCGATGTAGCAGGGAACAAACATTTCTACGCTGCTGATGATGTATGTCGCTTTTACTTTTTAGGTGAAGCCAAAAACCTTCCCTCTTACCCGGGGCCGAGCAAGATGAGGGATTGCTACTGCACGGTGAACCTGGACCAGGAGGAGGTTTTCAGGACCAAAATTGTGGAAAAGTCACTCTGGTAATGTCTTCTGTTGCTTTACTTGGCACTGATGTGTTTTCTTTGGTGTAGAGAATGTCCCAAGGGTGTACGTCACCTTCCCATTTTCCCATGTGTGGAGAACGTCCCGAGCGTGTACGTCACCATCCCGTTTTCCCGCATGTAGGGAATTTTTCTGTGCGTAGACAATGTCCCGAGCGTGTACGTCACCGTCCCGTTTTCCTGCGTGTAGGGAATTTTTCTGTGTGTAGACAGTGTCCCAAGCATGTACATCACCGTCCCATTTTCCCATGTGTAGGGAATTTTTCTGTGCGTAGACAATGTCCCGAGCGTGTACGTCACCGTCCCATTTTCCCGCGTGTAGGGAATTTTTCTGTGTGTAGACAGTGTCCCAAGCATGTACATCACCGTCCCATTTTCCCATGTGTAGGGAATTTTTCTGTGCGTAGACAATGTCCCGAGCGTGTACATCACCGTCCCGTTTTCCCGCGTGTAGGGAATTTTTCTGTGCGTAGACAATGTCCCGAGCGTGTACGTCACCGTCCCGTTTTCCTGCGTGTAGGGAATTTTTCTGTGTGTAGACAGTGTCCCAAGCATGTACATCACCGTCCCATTTTCCCATGTGTAGAGAATGTCCTGAGCGTGTACATCACTGTCCCATTTTCCCGCGTGTAGAGAATTTTTCTGTGTGTAGACAATGTCCCGAGCGTGGACATCACCGTCCCATTTTCCCGCGTGTAGGGAATTTTTCTATGTGTAGACAATGTCCCAAGTGTGTATATCACCGTCCCATTTTCCCATGTGTAGAGAATGTCCTGAGCGTGTACATCACTGTCCCATTTTCCCGCGTGTAGAGAATTTTTCTGTGTGTAGACAGTGTCCCGAGCGTGTACGTCACCATCCTATTTTCCCGCGTGTAGAGAATTTTTCTGTATGTAGATTATGTCCTGAGCATGTACATCACCTTCCCATTTTCCTCCTGCTTAGTTTGAGGAGGAGATGCTCCCTGGGGCTCTGGTGTGCAGGCAGCTGAGCTTCTGTCCTTGGTGGTGCGTGGATGTGAACTGGTGTTGGCTAAATGCTCCCGCTGTCCAGGAAGTGCATGTAGGCGGCGGTCCCCCTGCGTGGACTCGCACGAGTGCTTTTTAATTAGAGATGAACCGGGAAGCTCGCACTCCACAAAAGAGTACAAATTAAGGATTTCGAGAGGGGGAAATACTGAGAAAGCTTTTCTCTTCCTGTAAAATTTTCTAAAATAGCTATACAGAAGATGGGTGTTAACTGAGGTAAGAGGCCTAGAAAGTGTTTATTGATATGATTTGAGGAAGAGAGGAGTCAGCCAAGAAAAACAAACTCTTAAAATCAACAAGTTTCCCCCTCAACTTGAGCGTGTGAAGATGTGGGTGCCGACCCCAGGATGTCCAGAGCACAACCAGAACTTGTGTTTCTGAAAAGCTCCAGCTAAGTGGCCAGGCCGTACTCGGAGGACCACTGCAGTTGAACACCAGGACATGGCACGGGGTGGGATGCACAGGGACAGGAAGCCATGGCGATTTATGTCGGGGGTGGGAAGAGAGAAGCCAGGGAGAGTGTGCCAGGCAGGGCCTCAGTGCTGCGGCCTCGGGGGAAGCATGGGGCGGCTGGGTTATAAGGGAGCGGCTTGGGGATCAGAGAAGATGTCCGTGTAGCTGTGACTCCACCGGGTTATAAGGAGCGGCTTGGGGATCAGAGAAGACATCCTTGCAGCTGTGACTGCACCGTTCAGTTCAGAAGCATGGGTCGTGTGCTTTGATCAAAACAGCTATTTTGATTTTGAGAACATGTTTAGCTAAAGAATTATATCCTTGCATCTGGCTACTTCCAAGTGGGAATGAACAACCCATGCTGATGACTGGGTGAGTTTACTTACTAGAAAACTGTGAGGGGTCTCCTGCCCTGGAGAGACTGGGGCTCATATCACTCCGTCACTGACAGTGCTTCCAAAAGGCTTTGGCGCAGCTGCCCTCCAGGCCGAGGAGTGAGAGTCATTTGTGTTATGTTAATGCACGCTCCGGGTTCTTTGAAATAACTCGTCAAAAAGAACTGCAGGCTGAGGGGCATTGTCAGGCGCCCAGTCTGGCTTTATGAGAGTGTCTTGGGGTTGCCATGGCGATGACTGGGCACAGCCATTCTTCTGAAGAAAATGGGAAGAGACCGAGCCCTTCAGAAGTGCCTTTGGAGCTTCCCTGGATAAAAGTCCATTCTGTGTTTAAATGGTCTGTTGTTAGAGGCCTATGGATTGTGGGCCTGGAGAATTACTGGCAGTCTTTCTCAGGCCGGGATCCTCTCAGACCCGCTGAATCAGAGCCAGTGGGAGGAGAATCTGTTTGGGAACCTCTCTTTCAGGTGAGGTTGAGAAATGGGGGCCTGTTGTCTTTCAGATATTTCAGAAGAATTTAGAAATAGAAATCATGGTTCTGGCCGGGTGTGGTGGCTCACACCTGTAATCCCAGCACTTTGGGAGGCTGAGGTGTGAGGATTGCTTGAGGCCAGGAGGTTGAGGCCGCAGTGAGCCATGATTACATCACTGCACTTCAGCCTGGGCGACAGAGCAAGACCTTGTCTCAAAAAAACCCAAAACACACACAACAAAAGACTGATAGCAAAGAAAGAGAAACCCATGTGGGACAGTTCCAAGAGAGTAAAACTGTGGCACCGTTTAGCGTGGACGCCGGCAGCCCTGCCCACGTGTAACACTGTGGCGCCGTTTAGCGTGGACGCCGGCAGCCCTGCCCACGTGTAACACTGTGGCGCCGTTTAGCGTGGACGCCGGCAGCCCTGCCCACGTGTAAAACTGTGGCGCCGTTTAGCGTGGACGCCGGCAGCCCTGCCCACGTGTAAAACTGTGGCGCCGTTTAGCGTGGACGCCGGCAGCCCTGCCCACGTGTAAGACTGTGGCGCCGTTTAGCGTGGACGCCGGCAGCCCTGCCCACGTGTAAGACTGTGGAGCCGTTTAGCGTGGACGCCGGCAGCCCTGCCCACGTGTAAGACTGTGGCGCCGTTTAGCGTGGACGCCGGCAGCCCTGCCCACGTGTAAGACTGTGGAGCCGTTTAGCGTGGACGCCGGCAGCCCTGCCCACGTGTAACACTGGCGCCGTTTAGTGTGGACGCTGGCAGCCCTGTCCATTTGGAGGGCTGTGCGGGCTGGCCGCCCCTGTAGTGTGAGGGCAAAACGCAAATCAACCCACCCCATACAAAAAGTTGGCAGGAAAGGTACTTGAACCCAAAAGCTGGCTCTCTCATAAACTTGCAGCTGGAATCCACGCTACATCTGTGGTCGGAAGCCCTCCATCGGTGCACATGCATTAACAGAGTCCTGTATTAGTCATTGGTCGACATCCACCTGAGAGGCAGGTGTCAGGCAGGGCTGCCCCACATGCTGGGGAGTTTAGTCCTGGCCACCGCCCCCTCCTTGCTCCATGGTGGCACCCACTTTGGGGCCGGTCCCCCAAGTCTCCTGGTCCCCGAGTCTCCCATCCCCCGAGTCTCCCACCCCCCAGTCTCCCAGCCCCCAAGTCTCCCGGCCCCCCGAGTCTCCCAACCCCCGAGTCTCCCGGCCGCCTGAGTCTCCCAGCCCCCGAGTCTCCTGGCCCCCCAGTTTCCCGGTCCCCCCAAGTCTCCCGGCTCCCCGAGTCTCCCAGTCCCCAAGTCTCCCACCCCCCAGTCTCCCACCCCCCAGTCTCCCGGCCCCCGAGTCTCCCGGCCCCCCAGTTTCCCGGTTCCCCCAAGTCTCCCGGCTCCCTGAGTCTCCCAGTCCCCGAGTCTCCCACCCCCCCAGTCTCCCACCCCCCAGTCTCCTGACCCCTGAGTCTCCCGGCCCCTGAGTCTCCTGGCCCCCCAAGTCTCCCGGCCCCCGAGTCTCCTGGCCCCCCAAGTGGTCCCCTGAGTCTCTCAGCCCCCGAGTCTCCCGGCCCCCCAAGTCTCCCGGCCCCCGAGTCTCCCAGCCCCCCAAGTCTCCCAGCCCCCGAGCCTCCCAGCCCCCCAAGTCTCCTGGCCCCCCGAGTCTCCTGGCCCCCCAGTTTCCCGGCCCCCTCAGTTTCCCGGCTCCCCGAGTCTCCCGGCTCCCCGAGTCTCCCGGTCCCCGAATCTCCCATTCCCCCAGTCTCCCACCCCCCAGTCTCCCGACCCCCAAGTCTCCCAACCCCCGAGTCTCCCGACCCCTGAGTCTCCTGGCCCCTGTGTCTCCTGGCCCCCTGAGTCTCCTGGTCCCCCGAGTCTCCCGGCCCCCGAGTCTCCCAGCCCCCCAAGTCTCCCGGTCCCTGAGTCTCCCAGCCCCCCGTGTGCTTCCTCCAAGGTCAGTGTCACCTTTAAGGTCTGATGGTTCATTTGGCAAAGTCGCTGTGGAAAGAAAAAAGCCCACGTCTGCATCTCTGAGCTCAGAAGGGCCCCAGGGTGCTCTCTGGCCGCTGGGTCTGCAGCCGGGCAGGAGCCCCTTCTCACATTCCCTGGGGAGAAGCACTTGGGTCAAGTTTGATTTGCTGTTGCCCAATATCGCCGTCTGACTTAGCAGGAAGCTGCAAATGGAATGTGTGAGGAAGGAAAGGCGGAACTCAGCTTCTCTTCTTCCCTCTTTCCCACTAAGGAGGTCACCGACCCAGCTCCACCTCAGGCCTGTGTCCCCCACGCCTCCTCCCTGCGTGTGGCCCGGGCCCCTGGGCCGCGCGTCCGAGGCCCTGGAGTCTGTGGGGCCTCTTTATCGAGTGCTGAGCCGACGTCTGGGGAGAGCGTCCTCTGTCTTCCCTTTTTTCTGTATTTTTCAAGGTGGAGGTTGAAGGGCAGTGTCTGTCACAGGTTTAACTTCAGAACGCATCGAAGTGGACACATTTCAGAGAACAAGCCCTTTCTCTCTGGCCTTGGCCCTTCTCCAAGGAAGTGATTTTGGCAGTTTCTGTCCTACTAGAAAAATAATTTTCTGAGGTTGAGAGTGAACTGTGTTCACAATCCATACCTTTTAGAGCAATCATTTTTAATCATTTAAAGGGCAGCCACTATTTGTTTCCTTATTTACTTAAACTAAAAGGCTCCCTGAAATTGGGTTGGCAGGGCTGGGGCTTGGGAACCAGCTTCCCGCCCTGGACCTCCCCTGGGCCGGCACCCACGACCCTAAAACAAGGAGATGACCCCGCTCCCCAAGGCTGCGCTGCAGTGGAAATCACCGTCTTGTCCAGCAGAAAGGAACAGCTGGCGTCACACACAACAGAACCTAAATCTCTCCTTGCTGGGTTAGTCCAGTCATTTGCAAGAATATTCAGTAAGTGTCGTGTCCTCATTTCCTTCCATCCACGTAAGGACGTGGAATGGTGTCTGTCCCTGCCTGCTTCCTCTGCGCCCACGTGGCTGACCTCTCCCCAAACCCTCATCCACGCAGACAGTCCTGGCTCAGGGAGGCTCTGCCTCAGGGTTCTGGGTCTGACCCTACCCCCTGCCACTGGGGTTGAGGCTGGGCAAAGCCCTCTGCCCCACGCGGAGCCCTGGCCCCCCCTTTCTGTGGAGTTGCTCCTGCGTCCTTTGCAGGGTTCATTTGCATGCCCATCTCGGGGAGAAGGGGCCGTGGCCACAACAGGAAGAAACTGCAGGCGTGGCTGGTTTCTGTGCCCCCTCCACCCAGAGGTGCCACGGCCTGAACTCCTGCTCCGAAAGCTGGTTATGCGTTAGGTTACAAAGCTGTGTCTGTAGGAAAAGTTCTTTTGTTTAAAAAATCATGAGCACCCCCAAAATGATCTGGATACGCAGACAAAAACGTCAATGTGATGTGATTTCTGAGAAGTGGAATTATGGGGGAGTTCTTGTTCTTTTGTTTGTGTGTTTTATGTACAATTAGAAGTTACAAGTCAAGGAACAGATAGATCTTCTAGAGCTGAGCGAGGAGAGCTGGGTCTTCCCAGGCAGACGAGGACATCAGACATCACCAGGGACCCTCACTTGGCAGCCCTGAGGGGCAGGCTCTGAGCTCTTCTGGGTGGAAGCCCGTCCCGTCCTGTGTGCACGCAGTGGGTGTTTGTTAAAGACAGGGAGGTTTCTTTCTGTTCATACTGCAAGATGTAAATCACCCCCAAAATAGTACTTTTGTGTAGTAGAAATGACTAAACCAAGAAATGTCTCCACAGCTCCAAAGTTTTTCGGGAGGGGAGAAGTTATTTGGGGTTAGAAACTGAAAGGGGCAGGAGGAAGTTGGTGGTTTGGGAGACAGACGGTTCATTCTCTCAGATGCTTTTAATAAAAACCAAGTTGCTGACTTAGGAAACACCGACTTTGACATTAGGCGACTCATGAAAAGTCACATTTCCCATGAACATTTATTTTCACTCTCAAGTTAGAGCTTAAACAAAAACCTGCTTGACACGACTGGAGGCTTCTTGAAGCCCAGAATATCCCAGAACTGCTGGAGTAGGGGACCCATCCTCAGCCCCAGAGTACCCCAGGTGGGGGCCCATCCTCAGCCCCGGGGTGTCCGCAGGTGGGGGCCCATCCTCAGCCCCAGAAGTGCCCCAGGTGGGGGGCCCGTCCTCAGCCCCAGAGTACCGCAGGTGGGGGCCCATCCTCAGCTCCAGAGTGCCCCAGGTGGGGGGCCCGTCCTCAGCCCCAGAGTGCCCCAGCTGGGGGGCCCATCCTCAGCCCAGGTTGGGGGGCCTGTCCTCAGCCCAGGTCAGGGGGCCAGTCCTCAGCCCAGGTCAGGGGGCCCGTCCTCAGCCCAGGTTGGGGGGCCCGTCCTCAGCCCAGGTAGGGGGGCCTGTCCTCAGCCCAGGTGGGGAGGCCCGTCCTCAGCCCAGGTTGGGCCCATCCTCAGCCCAGGTGGGGGCCCATCCTCAGCCCCAGAGCACCCCAGGCCAGGGATCTGTTCTCTCAGTCCTGGAATGCTGGCCCCAAATCTCCCAGCAGGTCAGAGCCCCTGGTCCTGTCTGTATGACCCCCAAGCCCGGCCCAGCATCTCCATCTCCACCTGCATGTGTGTGTCCTTCCGTGTCATGCTGGCTCACAGGAGCGCACCTGTGTCAGAATGATGCAGGGGGTTCTCTCAGCCGCACAGGAACTCAGCCGGCGGAGAGCATGAGGTTGCTCGTATTCTGTGAGTACTGAGTGTCTACTGCACATGGCAGGCTGCCCCAGGCCCAGGCCTGGAAGGGACTCATCGGCCGCCTGTGCCTGCAGGAGCCTCCTGGCCCTGAGCTGTGGCTGGGCCACTGCAGGGAGAGGCTGGGCCTGTCACGAGGGGGCCGCACCGAGGATCCCATGAGGAGCAAAGGCCAGGTCCCCCCTTCTCCCTCCTGCCCGGGCCTCCTCTCGCCCGGCCGCCTCCCGCTCCTCGGCCGCTGGCCCTCTCTCCTGCCCCTGGCACCTCCCTGGAGAGCCCCTTTTCCCACCAGGGCCTCACTGAGGGTTTGGGGTTTGAGGTGTCTCAGCTGCTGCAGGGGACCCGGTGTCTGGTTGTGCCTCCTCCTGAGAGTCACTGCTGCAGTCACACATCGTGGCCGGGCCCTAAAGACCCAGCCGATTTTCATTTGTTTGTAAGGATGGTGGTTCTTTTTTGGGGGGTATGGGGTGGGAGAGAGGAAAGAGCCTCATGTGCAGGAGAGGCGGGAGCCGAGGCCACAGTGTCCCGGGGTGCTGCGTGCAGTGGTGTGTGGCGTGTGGTGTGTGGCGTGCCTGGCGACCACAGAGCCCATGAGCCGAGGGGCAGCTCCTCGGTGCCCCTGAACAGATGGGGAGACTGAGGCTCGGGGAGGTGAGGTGGCTCACCACGGCCGCTGCAGCTGTGAGTCTCAGCCCAGCCCGCCTGCTTTCCTCACTGAGTCTTTGGGTTCCGTTTGAAGACTCACAGCTCTATTTGCCAACATTTCAAAATAACCCCACCCATCTTGAACCACAGGAGGCTGCAACCCAGTGTGTGTGGGGCTTCCGCTGAGACCTGCCGTGCTGGGTGGTGAGTGGGCTGTGAGCTGACCACGGACCCCTGCCCTCCAGCCTCTGACCTCTGGGAGCCAGGGCTGTGTGACCCTGCAGTGCTGGGTGGCGGGTGGGCTATGAGCTGACCGCGGACCCCCATTCTCCAGCCTGCGGTCTGTGGGAGCCAGGGCTGTGTGGCCCTGCACTGGCCATGTGCTTCTGATGGGTGTGTTTTGCCTCCTGTCCTTTGCGGAGATGGAGCATTTTCCCTGGCCAAGTTGCCCCTTCTCTGTGGGGCGCCTCTGAGGATGAGTCAGGCAGTGACTCAGGACCGCAGAGCTCAGCCCAGAGGCTGGCTTGGGAGCCCCAGGGCTGCTTCGCAGACCCGGTTTGGGGTTTGGTTCCTCTTCACGCAGCCTTTACCCTCTACCCCGAGGCTGGGGCAGCCCTGGCAGCTCCCGGCTCCCCCCAGCGTTTGGGAAATGGGCCCCGAGCCTGCGGCAGAGCACAGAGCTGGGAAACCAGGTTTATTTTCTTATGATCACGTGATGGGAGCAGCCGCAGGCGGGATGGGGCAGCGCCAGCCTTGCGCAGATGCTGGGAAGTGACTCAGGGAGGAGAAGGCGGGGGTTTCTCTGCTGGTCCCAGCTGAGCCCCTGCTCCAGGCTCCAGGAGGAGGAGGAATTCAGTTCAGATGGTTTCCCCTCATCAGAGCCACTACTTAAAGGTCAACTCTGTTTTCTGCAAGAGGTTTTTTCTTTTTTCCCCGTGAAAGTTTGCTTGATTCTGTGAAACTTCATTTGCACTTCTTCCAGAAATGACTGAGGGAAAGGAGACTTTGCCAGGGTCTCTGCCTCAGAGGGAGAGGCTGCTGCGTGCGTTAATTTCCTTAGGCCACATGGCAGGATTTCAGGCGAGCCTGGTCCTCTCAGGCCGCACTTTTTCTTTATTTGGAAAGAGAGTTCCAGAGCCCTCGGGCGGTGAGTGGGGGCCGCCTGGGCCAGGCATTCATCCCGCATCTGACTGCTGCTGACCTCGGCTGGAGACAAAGCCGGCCTGTCCAAGAGATACCCCGAGGTTAAGCTGCTGATGGGAAGGGGGGCACCTGGTGGCTGTGTGGCCCCTTTGAGTCCATCAGAAAGAAGAGATTGTCCGGCACAGGCCACCGAACAGGATGGGGGATGGGAGGAATGCCCTAGCGTTCAGCCGGTTTCATTTTTCTTTTGGAATACGCTTCAAACTCTGCTGCCCAGGAAGGAGAAAGCACAAACCTTCCTGCTGATGAAAGAAAATGGGTGCCCCCACCATGAGACCCACGGACAGCGGGGGGCTGTCCGTGGGCCTGGGCTTTGCACCTGGGAGTGTTGGTGCTGTGTGGAGGGAACTGACCCTGTCCTCAGGCTGAGCCTGGAGTCCCCACAACAGCATAGGGGGGAAAGCTGCTGTCCTCAGACTCCGCGTGGCCTCCAGTGATGGTGCTGTGGCCACTTCCTGCCGGGTGCTCACCGTGGGTTCTGGGTGGGGCTGGGAGGACATGGGGCGTAGGCCATTCTGCCCACGAGGTGACGTGATCGAGGTGGACGTGGCTGGCCTCGCAGCCTCTGCTCCTGCAGGTCCTGGGACGCTGTGTCCATCTGCTGGAGCTCATTTCAGAGTTGGCTGATCACAGGTCCATAGTCACCCACTGGTGACAAATTTAACAAATTTGTGGGGGTTTTTTTAGTTCAAAAAAGATCCTCCTTAAATGTTGTGAAATAATATGTCTTTTAAGTTGCAACACACATTCAGAAGTTCCCGGAGGGTTAAATCCTGAGCATGAAAAGATGGTCATTCTAATAGAAAACAGGCCCAGAGCATTTCAAGAAAAAATGAGATTTAAAACTGCTCATAAAAAGATGGACATTCCACCTCACCAATGAGCCAGACATTTAAAATTTAAGCAGGTTTTTGCCACCGGTTTAGCAAACTGTAGAAATATTTATAAGACGGCGTATGCTGGGGGTGGACACTGGTCCAGACTCCCTGGAGGGTTCTGTGGCTTTGTGTTTCAAAGGCCTCAGGACAGTGCACATCCTTGGAGGAATTTATCCCACGGGGACAATCAGCCACTGCACAGATCTGCGTTCCCAGGGTGCTCACCCCTGCTGCTCCCACCACACAGCGTGCACATGGCAGGGGGACCTGGCACTGCTGTCCACGCACACACGTGCCGTCTGACCCCAGCGTTTTATCAGCTCTTTGGAAAGTGGCCCATGGCCTGATGTGAAAGGAAAAAGCTGACTCTGTCACAGGGAACATAACCTCACTTTTATTTAAAAAATTTATCCGTATTTCCATTCGTATCTTCTATATTTATAACATAAATATTTACTATTATTGTTAATATATTTGTATTATAATATAATGAGTCATTATAGTATGAATATACTTATATTTGTATTATAAATATTGTATTTATGTTATAAATGTAATACAAATATATTTATATTTTGTATATTTTAAACCTATAACATTTATATATTTTATTCTATTTTATATTTTTGGAGAAAAAACTCCAGGAGGATGTTTCCTGGAATGTTAATTCCAGATTTCACTTTCTGATTTTTTTACGTATTTAAAATTTTGTTTCTTTAAAAATAGCTTTATTGAGGTATAATTCAAGCACCGTACAATTCACCCATTTTGAAATGTACAATTCAGTGGTTTTTAGTATATTTGCAGAGTTGTGCAACAATTGCCACAGCCAATTTTAGAACATTTTCATCTCCCTAAAACGACACTCGCGCCCTGTAATCCTCCAGTTTCCGGCCTGCAGCCTCTCCTGGGGCGGCAGACACGGGTCCCCGTTCTGTCGCCGGCTGTGCCTCTCTTGGGCATTTCGTGTCAGTGGAAGCGTCTGGCCCATGGCCTCTGTGTGCGTGGCCTGTTGGTTGGCACCACATTGTGGATGCTGTGGTGTGGGGCCAGGGTCCAGGCGTCCTTCCTCTCCAGGGCTGAGCACCGTTCTGCTGTTGCTCCCTCAGCAGCCGAGGCCCACCTGCCTTGTTTCCACTGTCTGGCTGTCATGACTGAGGCTGTGAGCACGCATGTCTGAGTCTGCGTGCGAACGTGGGCTGTGAGCACGCGTGTCCGAGTCTGCATGCGGACGTGGGCTGTGAGCACGCGTGTCCGAGTCTGCATGCGGACGTGGGCTGTGAGCACGCGTGTCTGAGTCTGCGTGCGGACGTGGGCTGTGAGCACGCGTGTCCGAGTCTGCGTGCGGACGTGGGCTGTGATGTCTATTGCTGCACACCTGGGGGTGGAACCACTGTGTCCCGTGGCGACTGTGTGTTGAACGTCGGAGGAACCGCCAGCCTGTTTTCCGTGGCGGCTGTGGCCACTTGACCTTTGCACAAGTTGTGTGTTTGGATTCGCATCTCCACCTCCCTACCCTTGTTACTGTCTCTTTGATCACAGCCATCCCGGTGGGTCTGATTTTCTTTGTACAATGCGAGCCCCCCCTCAATGAATTTTTGCTTAAAAAAAAGCAATTTGTTGTTTTTAATTGAAATGAAAGGAAGCATTCTTTCCTATGCATGTGTTTTTTTTAAAGCAAACAAAATTAAAATCATAAGTAAGTAAAAAAAAAACCCACAGGAAAATTCTAAAAACTTGCACATAAATGGAATTACGAATCAACTCATCGTGGAAAATCGTGTCTTGCTGGATGTAGGTTATAGATGTAAGGTTAGGCACAGTGGAAAGGGAGATGGAACCTGCAGACCCCAGACGTGGACATGGTCCAGGACGGCGTCAGTCCGACCCCCGCCTTTTCTGCCCACCGTGGGATCTGGAGCCCCCTGCCCACCATGTCCCCTGAGCTGGCTTGACCTTGCCGTCCTCCCCGCCCAACCCCTGCGCCGTGTGCTCTGTGCAGACACGTCCCCTGTTGAGTCTGAGATGGAGTTACCACCGCAAGCACAGGTGACGGCTGAATCCCACTGCCGCCTCCGTGGATAGGGCACCAGAAACCCTCTGGAGAGAAGGCAGCCTGCCACGCTTTGTAATGAGCAGTTCGCTTAAGGATCGTGTTAGACTCCATGGCTAGTATAGATTTCAAAGCTCGTATTTCTTTCTTTCTTTTTCTTTTTTTTTTTTTTTTGAGACAGAGTCTTGCTTTGTCGCCCAGGCTGGAGTGCAGTGGTGCGATCTCGGTTCACTGCAACCTCCGCCTCCCAGGTTCAAGTGATTCTCCTGCCTCAGCCTCCTGAGTAGCTGGGATTACAGGCGCCTGCCGCCATGCCCAGTAATTTTTTTTTTTTTTGTATTTTTAGTAGAGACGGCGTTTCACCATGTTGGCCAGGATGCTCTCAATCTCTTGACCTCATGATCCACCCACCTTGGCCTCCCAAAGGGCTCCTGTTTCATAACCCATCACCCTTAAAGAGCCGTTCTCTGAGGTGGGCCTGGGCGCCTGGGGTTTTTAGAAACCTTTTCAGGCAACCGTAGTTTGCGGTTCTAAGAGGAAAAACATCAAGAGACCTGAAGAACCCAAGCCCCACGCATCAAGGCAGCGTCCCCGGCCATGGCGGAGGGAGCCCCGCGCATCGAGGCAGCGTCCCCGGCCGTGGCGGGGGTGGAGAAGGGAGAACTGAGTTGGGTTTTGGTGTGGCTATTTCTGTGGTATTCCCTCGAAATATTTGCCACTGAAAAAATGAAAAAACTCTAAGTGCTTTTAAGTGAGTAATTTCTGTGCGAGGTCTCGGGAAGAAGAAATGTCTCTGTGTGCAGTGCCCAGGCTCCATCTGCCGGCTGTGGGGGCTCCGTCTGCCGGCTGTGGGGGGCTCCGTCTGCCGGCTGTGGGGGGCTCCATCTGCCGGCTGTGGGGGGCTCCGTCTGCCGGCTGTGGGGGCTCCGTCTGCCGGCTTTGGAGGCCCCGTCTCCCGGCTGTGGAGGTGGCAGAGCCTGGCTGGGGTCTTCCCGAGGGCCCAGCCTCCTGCTCTTCACAGGGAGCCTCAGGGAAGGTGAGGCCTCTGCCTCCCTTTCAAGCCACTGGACTTGAGCTGACCACTGATAACACTGCAGCTCCACCGCGGGCGAGCGCAGCGCTGGGGGACAGTCCTGGCCTGAGCTCCGGGCGTGCGCGGCTCCAGCTGCGTCCTGCCCGCCTCTCGCCTCACTGGAAGCAGAGCGGAACGGGGCGTGTCCGGTCCTGGCCCTTCGCGTCCCCGCAGGCCCGTCACCTCCTGCAGGAGCCCCTCTGGCTTCCCGGCAGTCTTGGCTCTGCCAGAACTGAATTCCTGTCGTCCCCATGAGGACAACCAGGATTTGCTCGGCACCGTGGCCTCTCGGGCTGACCGCTGCACCTTGCTTGCAGAAAGCCCCACCTGTGGAGGCTTGGGTGACCTTCCCTTCCTGGTCCACTGTGCCAGGTCTGGGCAGCTCCTGGCTGCTGACCTGAGACAGGTGATTCCTCCCTGCATGCCCACTGCCCCATCCGTGCATCCGTCCATCCAGTGTCTTGCACGGGCCTGCATATTCCCAGCTGCTGTGGTGAAATGTCTGCTCTGCACCACGTGACCTCGGCTGCACCCTGACCTCTGACCTCGGCTCCCAGCATGCTCCGGTCCTGCCGTGCCCTGCCCAGGCCACGTCAGCCTTCTCCTTGCTCCTACGTCTTTACCACACACAAGCCCTGCTGCCTCGAGGCCTTCGCACCTGGTGTCCCTCTGCCTAGACCCCTCCTGCGCTCTCCGCGCCGTCCATGGCCTCATTCATGCGTTCCCTTGTCCTCCTGCGGGTCTCCTCACCGTCCACAGCGCTGTTCAAGCGCTCACTCGTCCGTAAGCCTCCCTGTCCCCCGAGCGAGGCCACAGTGCTGCCCCCGCCAGCCTTGCCCGCGTTGGACATTCGTGGTTCTGTGTGCTCTTTGGCTGGCTCCATGGGGCCAGGACTTTGCTTCATTGGCTGCTATTCCCACAGTCTAGAACGGGGATGGGCAGCTGAAACAGTCATGGAGAGAGAGAGCGCTGTGGTTTCTGGGTCCAGTGAGCCACGCCTGGCGGGGGCCAAAGACATCGAAAGTGCTCCCCGTTGTTTGGTCCTGGTGTGTGGGAGGCCCTGCCATGTGCTTGTCTCACTGTGCAGGGCAGAGGAAGAAACCTCCAAGCCAGGCAGTGGTGTGTCCTGGGGAGGCCGCTTTGGGGGCAGAGCCACTGCCCTTCCCCAGCCGAGCGCCCTCTGTGCCCGCAGGCTGCACTGTGGAGAGGGCGGTGTCCTGAGGCTGAGAGATGAGGGAACTGGCCTCTGGCAAGGCAGCGTTGAAACGTGGACGTCCCCATCTTCAAAGTCGTGCTTCCCCCGGCAAGGCCCGTGTGGGCACCTGTGCCTCCTGGGTACCTGTGCCTCCTGGGTACCTGCGCCTCCTCGCATTGGCTTCAGCGACGTCTGTCACAGATTCTTACATTTAGACGTGCCATATAGTCTTCCTGGTGGAGACCAACGTCCCCTTGGCCTTGTGAAGCTTACCAGGGCCTGAATTAGGTTGGGGGGAGCAGCTGCACCTGGGGACTGTGCTGTGAAGATGCAGGAGGGCCTGACGGCGGCTCCTCCAGGCGGGACTGTGCTCTGAAGATGCAGGAGATGCAGGTGTTTGGTTTTTTGAGACAGGATCTCGCCCTGTCACTCAGGCAGGAGTGCAGTGCTGTGATCACAGCTCACTGCAGCCTGGAACCCCGGGCTCAAGCAATCCTCCGCTTCGCTGCAGACGTGCGCCACCAAACCCATCTAATTTTTAAATTTTCTGTTGAGTTGGGGTCTTGCTATGTTGCCCAGGTTGATCTCTAACTCCTGGGCTCAAGTGGCGCTTCTGGCATGGCCTCCCAAAGTGCTGGGATTACAGGCGTGAGCCACTGCATCTGGCCTGGATGCAGGTATTTAAAAGAGCTTAGGGAAGTTCTTCGAAAAAGGCTCTGGCCTTCAACTCCCACTTCTACTCCTGATTTTGGTTCTCATTGGGATATAAGTTTCAGAGCACTCCTGGGCTCAGGAGAAGAGCAGCTCCCCTGCGAGGGGCAGGGTCACCTGTGTCCACAGCAGCAGGACTTGGTCCCTGGGGACTGCGGGTCGGCATAGTCCAGGGTGCCCATGACCAGTCCTCCGAGGAGCAGGGCCTGGGAAGGGCATTGTCGGGCAGGCGAGGACGGGCATGGTTGCTGGTCTGGGCATCAGTGGCATTGCTCTGAGAGGGAAGGAGATGCTGTCCCAGCAAGGGTGGCCTCAGGTCTGGACCCTCAAGTGGACACCGTGTTTTGGCTCTAGGACTGGCATGGCCCAACAGGATTTTCTGCAAAACAGGAAATGGTCTCTGTGTTTTCCGTCCGGTCTGGTGACCACAAGTCACGGGCTGGTGAGCACCCGAGGAGCTGAATTCTGTGGTGGGAATCCAGGTTCGGGAGAGGTCGTCAGGCAGGTGTGCAGACAACGTGAGTGGTGAGCCTCACGCCCGAGGAATCCGCTCTTCCTGCTGGACGCGTGGATGGTGGTGACGGCCTCGCCGCAGCAGCAGCACCTGGAGCTGGCCCCTGCCGGGTGGGTGGTCTCCATGGGGCTCATGGCATCTCGGGGGTCTTGGGGGGATGTCACTCTGGTGCTCCGTTTGCAGGTACAAACCTGCCATTCTAGGAGCTGACTGATGATCCCGGTCCTCGCCCCTGTCCTCACACCCCTGAGTGGTCAGGCAGGGGCTTCACTCGGCTGGTTCTGGCCTCCGTGCTAAAATGAATGAATAGGACAGGACAGTGAGGAAAACGCACACCTGGGGAAGTGACCTGGGAACTCACCACCCCCACCCACCTCCGGGACTCCGACCTCCCAGGGCCTCAGCCAGGCCCTGCCCTCTTCAGCACATTGGAAACACCTGCATCTACCCAGTGTGCGCTAGGATGGCAGCTCTCCAGCCTCCATCCTGCAGGCCGAGCCCGCACCCCAGGGAAGCCATTGTTCTGGGTCCCCTCGTGCTGAGCGCCCTGGCCAGAGGTGCCCCTTCCAGGTCTGGGTGTGGTTGGCGGAGGTTTTATGGGTTTTAGCTGTGGGTTCATTCTCAGAGGTTAACTGCCCCCAGAAGGTGGGGAACCGCCTCCACTCTCCTCCTTGAGCTGGGGGTTTTACATTCTTCCAGGAGTTTCTTCAGGGCTCCCTGGCTATGGCATCGTGGCCTTGGGTGTCAGGCTGGCTCTGTGCACAGTCATTGTGGGGAGAGGTTTCCTTCCTGTGGGGGCCTCCACTGTCCCTGGAATCGCCCTTCTTATTCCCTAAATAAATCATCGGTCTAAGAAGCTGAACGAACCCTCTATTCTGGCACAGAGACTGGCTCCAGCTTTCCTTGAAATCCTGCAGAGCCTTCATTAAAATGAGTGCAAGGCCTGTAGCACGGCCGCCTCTCCGGACCCCACTGCCCTGCAATGCCTTCTGCTCGTCCAGCTCGTGGGAATGAAGCTTGGTCACAGTGGTTGGTGGCTCAGAGCTCCGTTGATAAGGCTGGCCGGCCGCCTGCAGATGTCCTGCCTGGTTTCCTGAAAGACTTGAGGTGACCCGCAGGAAACAAAGTTAGTAATAACTTTATTACTTTAAGTTTAAAAAGTTATATGAAATAAGAAGAAAAACATTAAAATAGGCAATTGGAACCACTAGAATAAACGACATCAGACATGCAAAACACTCACCCATCGCCTGTGCTGGAGCCTGTTCTGGCTCCAGGGTTCTCAGCTGCAAATGTGTAAAATGGAACTGTGAGTGTGACGTTCCCCTTCTTCAGGAGGGGGGACCCGTGGTTCCCAAGGACAACAGCTCCTCTTAGCAGGGGGGGCAGCCTGACAGAGGGCCCCAAAGCGCTGCCTCCCCTGCTGCGATTCAGGAGCAAGGTTCTAAAGCCATTGCTGGAGAAATTCCTGGGTGGAGGCTGGAGGAGGTCTTGCTCCCCAGGGGTAGTGCAGCAGGGCCATGCTGTGTTGCTATAAACCGCTTTTACATTTAGAAAGGGGCACGTCCAGTCTGTGGTGATAATTTTATGGAGTTCGTATGTTTTCTTGTAGCTTCCTCTTTCTGCTATTTTTATCTCTTTTTATTGAATGGATTTCTGGTTTATTTATGAATTTTAAGCACCTCAATTTCCACGGACAGCTGTCAGCACCACCAGAAGCCTCACGGGACCCTCCCAGGTGCCCAGCCAGCACGGGCCTCCCCCCACCGAGCCCCCCACTGCCAAGCAGAGTTACAGAGAGAGGAGCCACTTGTGCAGAGCCTTTGGCAGAGCAACTGAACACCCCGCTACCGGGCAGCGCCCAGGGACGCCGCACTCTCAGCCCTGCTGCCCAAGCCCTGGGGTTAGTTTCGTTTCATCAGATGTTGGAGTGCCTCGGTTTCCCACCCTGTGCATCAGGGTGGTGAGGAAGTGTGCAGGGTTAAATGCCAGGTGCGCGGCGCCCGTTTGTGGGGTGTGCTTAGCGCTGGCATCCTCATCTCACCGCCCCTCACCACGCACCGGACACGCACCAAATATGCATCAGACACACATCAGACACACACCAGACACTCACCACTCACCAGACACGCATTGGACACGCACTGGACATTCATCGGACACACATCAGACATGCAATCCAGCCCGACCCACTTCCTCCTCCCTGCCTTCCTGCCAGGCAGGCACAGGCCCATGTGGTGGGGTCCTCAGTGCCTGTGCGGGGGCGGGGGGCTCTCGGGAAACGGTGACGCGCCAGGTGAACCCCGAGGCCTGGGTTGCTCTGAAGCTGCTGCAGCTTCCTGACAAGCCGGCTGCTGGAGTTTGTGCCAATGGAGGGCGTCCGTTCCATTCTCTGGCAGCTTGGCTATCGGTGCCGGTGGTTCTGAGGTTCCTCCATGGTGAACGAAGCTTGATTTACGCCTTTTGGTTACGCATTTGCCGCAAGGCCCAGAGCTGTGCGTGCTCCCGCTGGGCTTCTTGTGTGAGATGCACCGCAGCCAGGACAGCCTGGGCACCTGCCACTCTGGAGCAGGAAGTGAAGCCTCCAGCCCTTGGTTCTTGGGGCTCTGCCGGGAGCGAACGGGGCTGGAAACGCCAAGTCCAGGCTGCTTTCACACATTCAAACACCACGGCTTCCTGCCATCACTTAGGCCTCAGTGGCCCTGAAAGTTGCTCTAGGACGTACAGAAGAGGCCGTTTTGTCGTTGTAAAAATCCCAAATGTTTTGTGGATTACTATTAATTGTTAACGCTTGTCCTGTGAGTAGCTCGTCACCTGAGGCCTTGTCGTGAATATTAAAATGCACGTCTGGTGTCCCTTTTGGCTTCGAGGTTGATAGTGGTTTTTCCTGCCAGTGGGGACGCTGTCCGCAGAGCACCAAGCTTCTCCAGGGAGGCCACAGGGCGCTGCCTGGGGAGTGTGCGTCCTGCCCCGAGATCCTGCAGCTGTGACTTTACACAGGGTGGAGGCAGGGTCACGACCCCTGCGCCTTGTTATGAAAGCAGCGCATTGTGTGGGGCGCATCTGTGGTGCCTTTGTGTACATGTGCACCCAAGTGCTCCAGGGCACATGCATGCACGCATGAACATGCACACATGCCTGTGAGCACACATGTATGGGCACATGCATGGCACATGCATGCACACACCCATGCACACGTGCCTGTGGGCACACACATGCACATGAACATGCACACCTGCCTGTGGGGACACACATACGGGCACACACATGCACACACAAACACGTGCCTGTGGGCACACACGTACAGGCACATGCATGCACACACCCACACACATGCCTGTGGGCACACGCACCCATGGGCACACACGTGCACACACCCATGGGCACACACGTGCACACACCCACACACACATGCCTGTGGGCACACACACCCCTGGGGGTCCCTGACATCAGATCTCGGCGGTGCCCACGCAGACGCAGGAGATCAGAGGATGGCTCGCTGCGTCAACGACCAACGCGAGAATGTGTTTAAAGGAAACGTGACTTTCTAATGGGCCTTCATTAACCAGGATGCTGCTACAATGGAGTCGGTGGAAGTCCCTGAGCATTCTGCCTTCATTGAAAGATAAAGTGATGTTTCTTTTGTGTGTAAATGGATACTGCTGTGTTTCCAAAATGCTTAAAACAACCTAGGCATTTTAGGCTTCCCTTGGAAGATTGTTTTATGACAAAAAATGGTTTTCTGAGTAAATGTTACCCAGTCTCTGACCCAGTTATAAAAATACTGAAATCAGTGAAATCCAAATGAAATGCCTGTCATTAAGGCCGCTGCAGGGAGAAGGGGTGGGGCCTGGACTCTGGACCCCTCCCACCTGGACTCTGGGCCCCTCCCACCTGGACTCTGGGCCCCTCCCACCTGGGCTCCGGGCAGCAACAGTCGCCCGCCCCAGGTTTGGGCTTATGCCTGTGCCGTATCTCCTGGTTTAATTTGCATTTTCTCAAGGGCTAATGACATGGAGCATTTTTAATACATTGTTGGCCATTTGTCTTTGGTGATATGTGTGTTCAAATCTTTTGCCCCTTTTTAAACTGAATTATTTGTCATCATTTATTGAGTCATAAGAGTTCTTTATATATTCTGTATATAAGTCTTTTATCAGATAACTGACTTACTAATATTTTTTCTAGTCTGTCTTTTCACTTTTTATTTTTTTAATTTTTATTATTTTTTTGAGACTGAGTTTTGCTCTTGTCACCCAGGCTGGAGTGCAGTGGTGCAATCTTGGCTCACTGCAACCTCTGCCTCCCAGGTTCAAGCGATTCTCCTGCCTCAGCCTCCCGAGTAGCTGGGACTACAGGCGCCCACCACCATGCCCTGCTAATTTTTGTATTTTTAGTAGAGATGGGGATTTGCCATGTTGGCCAGGCTGGTCTCGAACTCCTGATCTTAGGTGATTCGTTAGTCTCAGCCTCCCAAAGTGTTGGGATTACAGGCGTGAGCCACAGCACTGGCCCTTTTCACTTTTTAAATAATGCTTTTAATGCAAAAAAGTTTTTAATGTTTTTAATTTTGATGAAGTTTGATTTTCCATTTATTTTTCTTTTGGCACTTGTGCTTTTGGTGACAGATCTAAGACATCTTTACCTGACTTTAGGGTGCAGGTTCATTCTCATTTTCTTCTGAGAGGCTAGTAGCTCCAACCCTTACACCCTTACAGATGGGTGCGGGGTCTGAGCTCATTTCTGTGTGTGGCTGGGGTGGGGCCTGTGCCGTTGGTGACTGTGTGGACGCCCCCTGGCCCAGCACGTTGACCTTCCTTTGCTTTCTATCAGAATGGTTCCTCCTTGAATAACTTACATCTTTCCTATTTTGGACCTTAGCATCAATGTGCATGAAAGTGGGCTTGTTTTAAGTTCTGAGTTGGTGGTAGCTGTGCGTGCACCGCAGTAATCGCCAACAGGTCCGGCGTGGGGAGGAAACTAACCCCACCTGTGCCAGCCCAGGACAACAGGAAGGTTTGCTGAATGGCAAAGCCCACTGGCTTCTGCTTCTTTATTGGGGTTGTGGTTATTTCAAGTCTCCTCTGTGGGGCGGCTGCATCTCCTGGTGACTCACGCATGGGCGGCCTGAGCCATGCACTCTGTAAGCACAGTCAGCAGCGGGGTCCTCTCCCCCAGGAGCTAGGGCGGCTGGGCAGTCAGCAGCAGGGGCCTCTCCTCCGGGAGCAAGGACTTTAAGTACAGTCAGCGGCGGGGGCCTCTCCCCCAGGAGCGAGGACTCTAAGCACAGTCAGCAGTGGGGGTCTCTTCCCCAGGAGCCAGGACTCTAAGCACAGTCAGCAGCGGGGGTCTCTCCCCCAGGAGCGAGGACTCTACGCACAGTCAGCAGTGGCGATTTCTCCCCCAGGAGCGAGGACTCTAAGTACAGTCAGCAGCGGGGGTCTCTCCCCCAGGAGCCAGGACTCTAAGCACAGTCAGCAGCGGGGGTCTCTCCCCCAGGAGCGAGGACTCTACGCACAGTCAGCAGTGGGGATTTCTCCCCCAGGAGCGAGGACTCTAAGTACAGTCAGCAGCGGGGGTCTCTCCCCCAGGAGCCAGGACTCTAAGCACAGTCAGCAGCGGGGATCTCTCCCCCAGGAGCGAGGACTCTAAGCACAGTCAGCAGCGGGGGCCTCTCCCCCAGGAGCGAGGACTCTAAGTACAGTCAGCAGCGGGGGTCTCTCCCCGAGGAGTGAGGGCGGCTGGGCAGTCAGGACTTTGTACTGGATCTCTGGATAAAAGGAGCGGTCCAAGGCACTGGAGTGCTGTGTTTTATGTTTAATGCATAAAGGGAGCCACTGCCTGCCCCAAACCAGGTACCTTCGAAACATCACGATGGCCCTGAGGCTGCACCTAGACCTGAGCACGTAGCATGGAAGTCATTCTGGCAGTGGCCGTGGTCTCTGTGGAGGTCTCAGCTTCCGGGCCGCCAGGCAGCCCAGTACAGAAGTTCATCTGTGCAGTGCAAAGGCTCGAGGTGGAGGCCGGGGAGCAGCTACGAGGCCCTTCACCCCACAGGGAGCTGCAGGTTCATGTCTCATGCGTGCCACACAGTGCAGGGCATTCTTATGGCATGTTTAAAACTAAGACCACACGTGTGTGCCCCGGGGGTGAGGCGCAAGCGTGGCCTGTGTTCTAACTGGCGCTTTTCTTTGTCTCACTAGCCCGTTTTACGGAGAAGACTTTTACTGTGAAATTCCTCGGAGCTTTCGTCACCTGTCCTTCTACATTTTCGATAGAGACGTTTTCCGGAGGGATTCCATCATAGGTAGGTGATGAATGAGCATTTACTTCCCCTTTTCTGCCTGTTCTGTACCAGGCGAGTATTAGCATTTCAGTCCAGAGCCTGGCTGGATGGTGCTGAGGGGTCGCTGCAGGGCTTGAGGTCACAGCAGCCCTGGGTGTTCCTCCTGATCTGCTCTTGGGATCTGGCCTGGCATCTGTGGTCCCTGCTAGAGCATCACACCAGGCTCAGGTCAGTGAGCACTGCCAGTCGAGGCTTCCATGGCCCCTCAAGGCAAGAGCACAGCATCTCTGGCCCTCTTCAGACAACTTCCCAGGGCTGTTCCCCGGGGCATCTGTGGGGGGACCTTTGCATGGATGTGGGGCCTCCCTCCTCACCACGTCTTGGCTGTCCCTGTCCCAACTTTAGTCCCCACAGTGTGGGCACAGGAAGGGCGGGTGGGGGTGGGGGCATGTTGCCTCAGTTTCCCCCTGGTTTTTGGGGCAATACTGTTACTTCCAGGAGATGGTGTGTTTGGAGCAGGGGTGGGGCTGCTCTTGGAGAAAGCTCATGGGCAGCCCTGCCTGGTATCACAGGAAGGCGGCATCCTGTAAGTTGTGGGGCCTCTGGGCAGAGTGGACTTCAGGTTACTCGGGGAGCTCCTTGTTCCTAAATGCAGCCAGAGGACCCCGTCAGGAGCAGACCTCACGCAGCAGGCGTGGGAGGCTGAGGGATCAGGCTAATTCCCGCCGTGACGCTGGGAGAGCCAGGAAGGGAGGAGGGGTCCTGTGGCGCCTGAGCTCACGCCCAGGACGGGCGGCCGGGGAGCCAGTGTGTACTGGCTGCCACAGCCTGAACCCAGACCCCAGGTGGTGCAGGCTCCTCGTCTTCATGGCTGCCGGGATGCTGAGTGGGACAGGGCGAGAGGAGGAGTCCCCCAGGGGGACCCCCAGCTTGGCCCCAGGCAGCCTGAGGGCCCGGGGGTGCAGGAGGCCAGCGAGGCCACGAGGGTGCTGTGCGTGGGCGGGGTCCCGGTCCATCTGACGCTCGCTGCTCACACTGGCTCCTCACACCGTGTCACGGCCGCTCCACCCCACGCCGGCTGCCCCCTTTCCCCAGCGCTCACCTGTGTCCCTCAGCTGTGGGCTTTCTTCATCGTCCCTGTTCCTCTGTTTGTGAGCCATGGACCAGGATCTGTGATCTGATCCATTCCCAGTGCTTGGCACACAGAAGTGAGAGGCACGGCCAAAGGTCCACCTCAGAGCTTGAGTGTCCTAAAACCCAGCCTGTCCCCACTGGGCGGCCGGCAGCTAGTGTGTGTCAGCACGACGTTGAGAGAGAGAGGGGGCATGAGAGAAACGGGCTAGTAGGTAACGCGTAGGCTGTCTGCACTCTGCCATGTCCCGGGCCTCCACAGCAAGTCCCCTGACAGAGATGAGATGCCTATCCTGACCAGTCTTGCTCTCTGCCTGGCATTGAGAGGGGCTTGGCTGGGTGAGAGGCCCTCGGGGCCGGGCAGGGCCTCACCTGGCATTGATAAGGCCAGTGCCCCCTCACCATTGCAGGGGTCGGGACCCGGACATTTTTGGGACTGTTGTTCACTGTACCCAAGTGATTATTCTTAGAAACTGCTGTGTTTTTCATAGAAGTCTCCAGAGTTTGTTTAGAAAATACATGGAATGGGTCACATGGATCTCAGATAATTGACATTTGACTTCATTTTGAGCGGGAACACTGTGCTGGGTGCTTCCGCAGCGGACA
Organism: Homo sapiens; assembly: GCF_000001405.40. Lineage (NCBI taxonomy): Eukaryota > Metazoa > Chordata > Mammalia > Primates > Hominidae > Homo > Homo sapiens. The sequence goes on along the minus strand of NC_000013.11, from coordinate 114,050,335 downwards.
CCCTGGCCCTGAAATGCGGCTGCAGAAGGTGTCTGAGTGCAGCGGGCACCTGACCCCCCTTCAGGGTCTTGCTGTGCTGGGCTTCATGGAGCCTTGTCGGTGAGATGGTCTTGAGGGTCCAGCGTGACCCCTGCACCCCCTTGCTCAGTGTCTGCCTGGGAGGCCCTCAGGTTCAGGCCCATAGCTTTATGTCGCGTTCAAGCTGGGTGCTGCGGAAGGGTTCCCTCTTCCTCTCTCCCTCTGACCAGGGCATCGGCTCCAGGGCTAGTGGCTGGCAGTTCTCCCTCCTGCCTCCGGGCTCAGCCGCTGTGCACCCCACTCCTGAGGCACCTCCTTCTCCATCCCCATGTCCTGCCATGCCCACCTCTGGGACTGGGGCCTGCTGCAGGAGATGGCCTCCGACCCCGCGGCATGGGTGGGCTGCCCTCCGTGACCTGCCTCCCCTGCCCCACTCGTTGGTTGTGGTTCTCTTGCCTGTTGTGCTGTGTCCACTGGACAGAGCTTCCTGGAGCCCATGGTCCTGCAGGGCAGGCCTGTGTCTCGCTCCTGTGTTCTCAGCCCCTGCCAGGGGCCTCCAAGGGTGTTCTCAGAAGAAAGGGAGGCATGGAATCCAGATTATTCAGCGGAGGCTAATGGTGTATCTGGCGGGGCTCAGCCTGTGCCGGGCGCCACGCGCGAATTGAGGTGTGACCGTGTGTCAGGCCTCGTCACCAGCTCCGTTTATACTCGAGAATCCACAGGGACTTGATTCGTTCTCGAAGGTGTATGAGACATTTTTTGAGCGACAACCCTAAGGAAAAAGAAATTTAAAAAATTTTTGCACATTTTAGTAAGAGAAGCTGATCAAGTTAGTTCTGGAGTTATATGCTCTGAAAATAACCAAATAAGATGTTTATTAATCATTCTGTTGACGTCGTCTGCTAGTAGTTCTTGGTGGCTTTACGATTATGGTGACTGGACTTAGATGTTTCACTGTGGCTTTCGCAGCTATGAAAATGGGTGGCTGTCTGGATCTCCGGTAACGATTTATCTTTATGATGGTAATTATGTTGTTACCGGGCATGAAACACCAGGTTCTGGGGAATGCGTTTCTGGGTGGAAGTGCGCGGTGGCCACTGGCTTCCTGGCTGCGTGGTTCTCCTGGTTCTCGTTTCTAGCAGCCGCCCACGCCCTGAGGAAACCCCACCTGCCAGCAAGTTTCCCTTGGGGCAGCCACAGCTGTGCTCAGTTGCAAGTTCAGGTCCAGGAGTGAGAGGTGCACTGGCAGGTGCCAGAAGGAAGTGGGGGTGCATTCCTATGGGGTCGGGGGTGTGGGTTGGGGACGGGAGGGCATCTTCAGCCTGGAGGGGGAGGGCGGTGGCGACAGAAACCGAGAAAGGCAGCTGAAGCCGTGCCGGGATACGGCGCCCCGGCAAGTGAGACTTGGGGAAATAAAGGCCTGCCCTCAGCCCTCCCCAGCCCACCCCGGCACCTCCACCGGCTGCAGTCAGCTCCCGCCACAGCAGGAGCAGGAGAAGTGTCCAGTGTCGGCGGGTCCCGGGCGGCGTGACCGTAGCCTCCTCTGTCCCTGGGTCCATGGCCCACAGAGCGCTGCTGCCGGCGGGAACTGTCAGTCAAGCCGGGCTCCCAGCTGCAGGGCCGTGACCTGCGGGACACACGGGGCGCAGGCTCCTTCGGGATTCCAGGCGCAGGGAGGCGGCCTCTGCCTGGACTCGGCTGCCGGGCGCTGCCCTCACAGAGCACAGACCGGAAACTATGGCTCCCCGCAGCTGGGATGCGGGAACCACGGAAATGCGCGAGGCCCGGCTCGGTGCTGTCAGGAGCATTGGGGTCTCCGCCCCCGATCCTGGCGCCTCCCTCCTTTTCCCGCTAGGCCTCCACCTTCCTCTGGGCCCCGGCTCTGGTAGCACCATGTCCCCCTCCATTTGCCCCTCCAGCCCCTAGAGACTCTCTGAGGCTTCCCAATGGGGTGGGGGTGCAGTGAGACCTCCATTCTTTTCTTCTTCTTTTTTTTTTTTTTTGAGACGGAGTCTCTTTCTGTCGCCCAGGCTGGAGGGCAGTGGCGCGATCTCGGCTCACTGCAACCTCCACCTCCCGGGTTCACGCCATTCTCCTGCCTCAGCTTCCCGAGTAGCTGGGACTACAGGCGCCCGCCACCACGCCCGGCTAATTTTTTGTATTTTCAGTAGAGACGGGGTTTCACCGTGTTAGCCAAGGTGGTCTCTATCTCCTGACCTCGTGATCCGCCCACCTCGGCCTCCCAAAGTGCTGGGATTACAGGCGTGAGCCACCGCGCCCGGCCGAGACCTCCGTTCTTTGTGTATAAATCAGGTGGTCTGCAACTGACATATGGTAAAGTTCACTGTTAGGTGTAGCCTTCACCAGTGTATGCAGTTGTGTAGACAGCAGCACAGCTAAGATATGTTCCCACAGCCCGGAACACTCCTTTGGGCCCCTTTGGGGTGGATTTCCTACCCTGGCCCACAGCCCCGGGCAGCCACTGCTCTGAGGCCTGTTCCCACAGTTGCCTTTTCCAGGAGGCCACGTGACTCAAACCCTGGAGGGGCCGTGCCCTCTGCCACTGCGCTGGTCCCGCGCTGTGCGGCTGTGAGCCAGGCCGCCCCCTTCCACTGCCCGTGGGTTTCCATCATACAGACACAGCTCAGCCGCCTCATCCACCCTCTGGATTGTGTCTAATCCTCAGGAATTATGAATAAAGTCACCGTAAACATTCTCGGATAGGTCTTTGTGTGGACAATGTTTCTGTTTCTTACTCTGAGATAAATGCGTGGGAGCGAGGTTGCTGGGTCACTGTAGGGTGTGTGTTTACTTTCATTAAAACTACCCAACCGTGTCTCCAAGTGGTCACCCAGTCTGCCTTCTCTCCAGCAGCGGGTGAGAGCAGCAGGTATTTCGCATCCTGCCCGGCCCTTAGGACTGTGAGTTTTTATTCTCTAGTTACCGTTTGCACTCCCATAGGTGTGTACTGTCTCACTGTGGCTTTTATTGCGTGTCCGTGAAGAGTGGCGTCGAGGACCTTTTCTTGGGCTTAGTGACAGCTCCATTCCTTCTTTAGTACATTGTTCAAATCTTTTGCCCTTTTAATTGGGTTGTTTTCTTGTTACTTTTTAAAGTTCCCTGTATATTCTGGATACGAGTCTATCACAAGTGTGCTTTGCAAATATTTTCTTCCAGTTTGTGGCTTGTATTTCATTTTCTTACCATTGGCTTTGAAGAACAGAAGTTTTTAATTTCGATGGTCCAGTTTATCACATTTTTTTCTTGTATGATTTGTACCTGTGGTGTCATGTCTAAGAAAGTCTTGCCTATTCCACGGTTGTGGCGGTTTTCTCCTGGAAAGCATGTGCTTTCAGCGTTCACATTTAGTTCCATGATCTGTTTCAAGCTAATTTTCACTTATAGCACAAAGAAAAGGGTCGGGATTCTGTTTTTTCCATGTAGACATCCCTTTGTTCCGGCACCCTTGGCTGAAAGACGACCCTTCCTCCGTTGATGACTTTGGCACATTTACAGCTTAGTTGGCTGCATTGTGTGGGTCTGTTTGTGGCCTCTGTATTCTCTTCCATCTGAGGTAGGAGGCGGGACTGGACTCTGAAGGCAGGGCTCGGACACCGAACCAAATTGAGGACTAGCTGAGACAGGGATGGGTGGAAGCAGCTTTCCATCGGACACGCCTGCCAGTGTACCATGTCACCTTACCATTGCCATGGCAACGCCTGGAGGTTACCACCCCTTTCCATAGGAACAACCCCGTGACTCGGAAATTACCACCCTTTTTCTAGAAATGTCTGCATAATCTTTTAATTGACATATAGTTAAAAGTGAGGATAAATAAGACTGCAGCAGTGCCCGGAGGTGCCACTCTCAACACCCTGCCTATGGGGAACCCTTCTCTGCAGGAACGGCTGAGACTGTCAACACCCCGCCCGTGGGGAGTCCTGCTGTGCAGGAGCAGTTTCAGAGCTGCCACTGCCGCCTCCATAAAACTGTTTTCTTCCACCACCACCTCATTCTCGAATTCTTTCCTGAGTGAAGCTACAGACCCTCTGAGGCTAAGCCCCAATTTGGGGCTCGCCTGCTGTGTGTCATATTGATCCACCTGTCCTCATGCCAATACCACGCAGTCTTGATCACTATAGCTTCATAGCAGGTCTTACATTGTAGTGTAAGATCATCAAATTTGTTCTTAAACTTGTTTTTCTATTCTAGATGCTTTGAATTGCCATATATACTTTTGAATGAGCTTCTCAATTTCCAAAATAGTCCCACAGGAATTTTGACTGGGATTACATTGATCTATAGATTAATTTGGGGAGAATTAATATCTTAACAAAACTGAGTCTTCAAATCCATGGACATGGTATATCTTTACACGCTTGGGTCTTTCCAATTTCTCTCATCAGTGTTTTGTGATGTGTTTTCAGCCTACACATTTTGCACATTTAAAAACATTTATTTCCCTGTGTTTTATGTGTTTAGTGGAGTGGTTAAAGATTTCTGAGGTAGTCCACCAAAAGCACAAACCTAAAAGCATAATTTTGTGAAAGGTGCTGTTTTTGTGTAATTTTCATGGTCATTGCTTGTATGTACAAACGCAGTCGACGTCTCCACACTGACTTTGTGTTCTCTGTTCTTGCTGAACACACCAATTAGTTCTATTAGCTTTGCCTGTAGATTTTTTTTTGTACATTCTATGAATAAAGGCTTTTATTTCTTCCTTTGGGATCTGTATGGCCTTTGTTTTTTCCTCGTGGCCCTGGCTGGGACACAGGTGGGGTCAGAGGGAGGCGCGCGCATTTCAGCCGCATTCCCTGTCTCGGGCAGCTCTTGCTCAGTTGTGTCCTGTGGCTGTTTCCCCTTTTTCTGGTCCCTCTGCAGCTGGTCCCCCGTCTGATGCCCTCCAGACCCCTGGCTCCTCCTTTCTGAACGGGCCTGGCCAGCACAGATGCAGCAGAAGAAAGTGACCCTTCCGGCCTCTCGTGGTGAGAAGGCAGCCGCCTTTGCCCAAGTGAGAAAGGGAGGCCCAGAGTGTTCGGTAAACTTTTCGGTGTGACTCAAATAGATGGGGACAACCCTGTGGATTAGGCACATCAGAGAAATTTAAGTAGACGCCGTGGCTTTTAGATCAGGCATTCTCTCAGGTCAGCATCTGGAGATACGAACACGCATGCTTCAAATGTCCACGGTCCCCATTGTTGAATGTGGCTGGCTTCTAGAAGGAAAGGTTGGGGGCTGGTGACAGAAGTGACCCCACGTCGGGAATGAGGTGGCAGGGGCAGGGATCCCTTCTCGAAGGGATTTTAAATCCTTTTGAATGTTGTGGATTTTGTTCTGTTTCTGTGTTACCTATTAAAAAATTAAGTGAAGTACTTCTAAAATTAAAGACTTGTAATCATGTGCCAGTTACAAGATTTTTATCCACGTAAATATGTGACTTCTCCCGTCCCAGTTTCAGCTCATAAAAATGTGAAGACACAGTGACATTGCAAGTATTTAAAACTTCAGACTTCAAAACTGACCCTCCTGTCCAGCTGAAGGCGTCTTGGAGTCTGAAGATTTATCCCTTTTCACTGAAATATATTGCCCAACTCAGTTTTAAGAAGTTTTTGCTTTCATGTGGCTTTATTCCTGTGAGACTCAAAACTGAGGTTCGTGTTGTGGGGGAAAGGGGAGGTTATGCAAGAGCCACGCAGCGGTCGTCAGAGGAGAGGACAGAGCCCCCACTCCGGACCCTTGAAGTCAAAGGCGCCCGCCCAGGGCTGCCGGTGGGAGGGCGGGGGGCTCAGCGAGTGAGGCGGCGGGGGAGCTCAGCGAGTGAGGCGGGGCGGGGGGCTCAGCGAGTGAGGCGGGGGGGGAGCTCAGCGAGTGAGGCGGGGCGGGGGGGGGGCGGGGGGGCTCAGCGAGTGAGGCGGGGCGGGGGGGGCGGGGGGGGCTCAGCGAGTGAGGCGGGGCGGGGGGGGCTCAGCGAGTGAGGCGGGGGGGGAGCTCAGCGAGTGAGGCGGGGCGGGGGGCTCAGCGAGTGAGGCGGGGCGGGGGGGCTCAGCGAGTGAGGCGGGGGGGGGAGCTCAGCGAGTGAGGCGGGGGGGGGAGCTCAGCGAGTGAGGCGGGGCGGGGGGCTCAGCGAGTGAGGCGGGGGGGGCTCAGCGAGTGAGGCGGGGCGGGGGGGCTCAGCGAGTGAGGCGGGGCGGGGGGCTCAGCGAGTGAGGCGGGGCGGGGGGGCTCAGCGAGTGAGGCGGGGGGGGAGCTCAGCGAGTGAGGCGGGGGGGGGAGCTCAGCGAGTGAGGCGGGGCGGGGGGCTCAGCGAGTGAGGCGGGGGGGGCTCAGCGAGTGAGGCGGGGCGGGGGGGCTCAGCGAGTGAGGCGGGGGGGAGCTCAGCGAGTGAGGCGGGGCGGGGGGGCTCAGAGAGTGAGGCGGGGCGGGGGGGCTCAGCGAGTGAGGCGGGGCGGGGGGGCTCAGCGAGTGAGGCGGGGCGGGGGGCTCAGCGAGTGAGGTGGGCCAGGCGGAGGTGTCCTGGCTGTCGTCCACCCTCGTGGTCTGCGCCATTAGAGGCCATTGGAGGGAGTCCACGTGGTGTGTCACTGGATTTCTCTCTGAGCCTCCCTGGTGTTCCTTCTCCCACATGTGCTGGGGCCTGTTTCCTGTGCCGGCCCCCTTGGTTCTTGATTTGGCTCTCGCCTGCCCTCAGTGGTGGTTTCAGCGTCCCGTGCAGCTCCAGATGGCCTGTGTATGTCTGTGTGGCAAGAGCTGAGCCGATGAGGTCACCAGGCTGATCTTAGGAACCCATGAGTGCCTGTGTGCTGTATCTACGTCCGGGTAGCTGTGGAACTGGCCGGCCCTGGCTGTGAGCGGGGGTCCCGGAGCTGGGAAGGGGCTTTTTCCAGGGCTGTTCCCAGGGCTGCTTTGCTTTGCAGAGTGGATGGTGTGAGGTGCAGCCGGCTCCCCTGAGGACATCAGATGAAGATGCTGACGTGCATGGCAGGTGTCAGCAGCACTGGAGGCAAACTGTCCTGATTCCGTCTCTCTCCTTTGGGCACTTGGAAAGCGTCTTTGTGCCTCTTTCCACCTTCCGCACCTCCCACCATGTCCTGTGGCCATGTGGTGCTCCATCATGTGGCCGACCTTGCGCTGTCCCATAGGGTCTGGAGCTGGTGCTGAGCTGGGCGTGTCTCAGACCCTCTGAGTTTGCAGACAAAGGAGGGGCCTGGTGGCCCAGGCCCACGGGCTCTGAGATTAGTCACGGAATGGACCAGTCAGGCTGAGAGGTCTCGCTCGCATGAGCCCGCGAGGCAGAGGAGCTCCTGAGGGAAGATGCGTCCTGGGACCTCGCAGGGTGGGGACGCCAACATAGGAAGGAACGCTGGCAGGAAGGCAGGGACGGAAGCTCCCTCTCCCTGCAGCCCCGGCCTGCTCGTCTGTGGGGTGTGCAGAGTGGTACCTGCTCCTCCAGGGTCACCGCAGGACCGACTGAGATGGCACCTGTGAGAGGCTGGCAGTGGAGTGTTCCCGAATTTACTGAGGCTGGACAGAGAATCAGGCCCAAGCATGTGGCTGCTGGATGCCAGGCCAGGGTTGTTCCGATGGGAGCCTGCGGAAGTTTTTTGAGACACGGAAATATAAAAGGATCTTCCTTGGAAGAGAGAACCGGGGCTGGGCTGCGCTGTCCTGGCGTGAGGCAGGGTGGCCGGGTAGGAGGCCCAGGCCGCTCCCGGGAGCCCAGGTCATGCACAATGTGCTCAGACCCTGTGGCTGCGGACGCTGCGGTGAACCGGGTCTGCGGGGACCCAGAGTTTCTCACTTCAGTGACTGGACCAAGATCCTTAAGGAGGGCGTGTGTGTCTCTGGGTGCAGAACGAAGACGTGAGGAGTCTGCCAACATTTCCTTCCTCACTCCTGCTCTCGTGTGTGCTCTGTGATGGGCTCAGACTTCACATGTGTGTGCGACTCCCTAGGAGTTCACGTGCATCGGTCAACAGAGGTGCATGTGCTGCCGTGGGTGCTCACCGTGGTGGGTGGCGTGGTCCGCAGTGTGCGGAGGCCACTGGCAGGGTTGACATGGTGGTGCCATGAAGGGACGCAGGATGGGAGATGGCTCGGTGCCCAGCGCCTGACAAGCCCTGTCCTGCCGGGGATGGGATGGGCACACGTTTGCCGCGCCTCGGGAATGTTTCTGGAATGAGGTGAACGTATAAGCAGATAATAATGGTTGCAGATGCGAATTTACACATATAAATCCATACTAGGTAAACGTATATTGTACAAATATATTCTGATACGTATTTTCACTGGAAGCGTAGCCCCAAAGTACTAAGCCTGTTTAAGGCACGGGAAACTGTTTAGAGTGGACGTTCCCAGACTTTGGGGCCCACACAAGTGCCCAGGGACCTGTGGTGGTGCAGATTCCAGCCCACACCAGAGCCTCTGTTCTCCTCCGTCTGGAGAAGGCCAGGAATCTACACTTTCAGGCTCTCCAGGGGTCCCAGAAGGCGGCTCATTCATTACACTTTAGAGGCACAGATTCAGACCAACCCACGTCGCGTGGGAAGGTGGCAGCTCATTCTGGCTCTCAGTCCTGCCTGTGAATAACCTGAGCACCCACATGCATGCACACACGTGCGTGTCCACACACACGGAAAGCACCCTAGGCACACGTGTGTTTCAGGCTGTCGCTCGCACGGGTGCACACGTGTCTCTTGTGGCGTGATGCTGCTGCCTTGGTGGTGTGTGAGGCACGGGGTGTTCATTTGTGAGATCAGAGCTCTGGTGCAGCCAGCTCCGAGGCACCTCCTGCTGTGAGAACTGGCCACGGACCACAGTGAAAGTGAGGCGCACATTGCCGATGGAGCGGACGTTCGCGCCTTCACAGCGAAGCCTCTGGAACGCCTTACTGGAAGGGACACAGTGGAGACTTACCGCTGCACCTGATTATTTTGACTTTTTAATATCAATTTTTAGAGATACAGTGCCACCATGCCCGGCTCATTCCTTTATTTTTTGTAGAGACAAGTTTTCACCATATCGCTCAGGCTGGTCTCAAGCGACCCTCCCCCCTGGGCCTCCCAAGCGTGGGGGTTCCAGGCATGAGCCCCGCACCCGGCCGGTGCCCCATTCTGAATTAAACTGTTGGAAATAAGCTGCGGTGATGATGGGCTGGCTTCTGCTCACAGGCGTCCTGGCTCTGGGGCCTGTGCCCGTGGTGAAGTCTTCTCTGCTTGTGTTGCAGGGAAGGTGGCCATCCAGAAGGAGGACTTGCAGAAGTACCACAACAGGGACACCTGGTTCCAGCTGCAGCACGTGGACGCTGACTCGGAAGTGCAGGTGAGACTCTCGGCGCAGCCCCGGAAACCAGAGCCCTGGGACACCATGGGGCTTCGAGACGGGCCCGGCTCCGACTGTGGCTAAAGACGTAGATCGGGCTTCGGCCTTGACTGGGAATAACGATGAGCAGATTGCGTGTTCGCCCACTTGTGCTCGGAGTGAGCGCGGGCTCCGCCATGGATTTTGGGTTGTGCGTGTTCGCCTGCTTGTGCTCGGAGTGAGCGCAGGCTCTGCCATGGATTTTGGGTTGTGCATGTTCGCCCGCTTGTGCTCGGAGTGAGCGCGGGCTCCGCGTGTGGATTTTGGGTTGTGCGTGTTTGCCTGCTTGTGCTCGGAGTGAGCGCAGGCTCTGCCATGGATTTTGGGTTGTGCGTGTTCGCCCGCTTGTGCTCGGAGTGAGCGCGGGCTCCGCCATGGATTTTGGGTTGTGCGTGTTCGCCCGCTTGTGCTCGGAGTGAGCGCGGGCTCCGCCATGGATTTTGGGTTGTGCGTGTTCGCCCGCTTGTGCTCGGAGTGAGCGCGGTCTCTGCCATGGATTTTGGGTTGTGCGTGTTCGCCCGCTTGTGCTCGGAGTGAGCGCGGTCTCTGCCATGGATTTTGGGTTGTGCGTGTTCGCCCGCTTGTGCTCGGAGTGAGCGCGGTCTCTGCCATGGATTTTGGGTTGTGCGTGTTCGCCCGCTTGTGCTCGGAGTGAGCGCGGTCTCTGCCATGGATTTTGGGTTGGGCGTGTTCACCCGCTTGTGGTCGGAGTGAGCGCAGGCTCTGTCATGGATTTTGCATTGTGTCTGTTCGCCCACTTGTGCTCGGAGTGAGCCTGGGCTCCGTGCATGGATTTTGGGTTTTCCCTTTGCCTACTGCCGCCCTTTGTCATGCACAACTGAGGAAGCTGTGAAAACAAACACGGTGGGAAAGGACAGGCACGCGTCATTGAGGCCCAAGAGAAAACATGGGTGGGGAAGGGCCGAGCCAGGGTCAGCCCTCAGGGACCCTCACTTCCCCACGGTTGGCTGGGCGGGCTGTTGCCTGGCACGCGGCACCAAGAAGGGTCTGAGCTGAAAGAGCGTTCTGGTCTCCCGTGTCCATTGTCGAAAGTGGCCAGGGGCTCACCCTGGCTTGCCGGGACTGTGTGCTGACTGGGGCTCACCCCGGTCCTGTCCAGTGGGGGGAGCTTGTCCCACCTCCCCACGCAAGACCGGGGGCTCCAGTGCTGGGGCCCATGTCCCAGACCCTTGTGTTCACAGCTGCTCACGGACGCACGGTGCCCAGCTGCCCGGCAACAGCTGCTCCAGGCTTGCCTGTAACAGAGGGAGCAGTGGGGGTCAGTCCACCGGAGCCCAAGCCTGCACCAGCTCCTGTGGGGTCACCCTGAGCCCTGGTCTGTGACACAGAGCAGCTGCAAAGGCCACAAGCAAGAGGCACCGTGGCCCAACCCTGGGACGTGGGAGGGTTTCCCAAGTGGGTCCTCAGCTGGGACCACAGTAAGTGTCTGAGTGTAGGGTTGCGGCACAGGGTCCCTGGGACACCGGACGGCTTCCTGGGTCCTCAGCTGGGACCGCAGTGAGCGTCTGAGTGTAGGGTTGTGGCACAGCGCCCTTGGGACGCGGGAGGGCTTCCTGGGTCCTCAGTTGGGACCGCAGTGAGTGTCTGAGTGTAGGGTTGCTGCACAGCGTCCCTGGGACACAGGAGGGCTTCCTGGGTCCTCAGCTGGGACCGCAGTGAGTGTCTGAGTGTAGTGTTGCTGCACAGCGGCCCTGGGACGTAGGAGGGTGAGTGTCTGAGTATGGGGTTGCAGCACAGCGGCCCTGGGATGTGGGAGGGCTTCCTGGGTCCTCAGCTGGTACCACAGTGTGTGTCTGAGTGCAGAGTCCCAGCACAGGCCGCCAGGCTCGGAGCCAGCTCCCTCATCGGATTGTTGCCAACGTCCTTTGCAGGCCTCAGTTTTCCCATCTGGGTGGGTTTGTGAAGCGTGCTGGTATGGCGTGTGTGCCACTCGAAGGCACCTGGCGCATCGTAAATTGGTGGCTGTGATGGTTATTTTTACACCTGGAGGCTGGCATCCTGGACAAATCCCCAAAATAGGTTCCTTGTGAGGACTTCGCCTGAGACTTCAGCAGAGGCAACTGGGTGGGTCGGATGGAGGCTCTGTGCCCGCAAGTTCAGGGCAAATTTGGGCTGGGGGACTGGATGGCCTGGTGTCCTCTGGGAACCCTTGTCCCCCGGCAACCCTCATCCTCCTGGAACCCTCATCCCTCGGGAACCCTCGTCCTCTGGGAACCCTCGTCCTCTGGGAACCGTCTTGCCCTGGCAACCCTCATCCTCTGCGCT